>NW_018654724.1:0-93070 GCF_000001405.40 Homo sapiens
AAAATGTAGTATAGAGAGGATGTGTGAGATGAATATTTCTAAAACATAATGATGTTACTCTTTTGCTTAAACGTCTTTGAAAGTCCTTTCTTGCCAACACCAGTATTTTAAATTGTAGTTTTATTGTTACTGAGCTATGGTAAGGCCAACAGGTTGGGAGATGATTGGTATGGAAAAGACAGTTTGTTACTAACAGTTCCCAAGAGGAGGGGGCAAGTGTCCTGCTGGGCCCCACGAGGAAGCACCAGGGTGTGTCGGGAGGCAGGAGAGAGGTGGGGCAGAGTGTGGGCAGGAAGTTTTATTGTGGCTTCCACAGGAAAGGCAAGGCTAGGCAGGCTTAGGATTGGTAAGCCTGAATAATTTCAGTGGGTTCTGGGCTAGAGAGGCTGTCCCTAGTTGTCCGGTACCTGGCTCTTGGATGATGAGCGCAGATGAACATTGTCTCCGGGGTATGTGTGCCAGGTGGAAGATGTGGTGGGTGTTGGCTCTGGATTGTTAGTTTCCATATGAAGGATGGGCTCCCAGGTGAGTTGTTTGCTATCTCTAAGAATTGTCAAGCCCCCAGAGAGGCAGTCTGTCCCCTGTCAGCAAGGCCCCAGATGCCAGAGCATCAAGAATGCAGAAAATATAGATAATACAAGCTTCATTTGCAGGAGTGTGCACCTCGGAACAGTTTTCCTGGGAGATGCTCTGAAGCCAGAGGATTCTGTCCTCTATTTTGGGAACTGCTGCCTGTGGGTCCCCTCTGGCAGTGTGTTAGCAGATTAAGGTCATTGGGGGAAATCCTGCTTGAAAGAAACCTGTTAGTCTTTATTTAACCCTGTTTTCCAAACTTGTTTAACCATAAAATCCTTTTGAAAAACATGAACTGTCATTTTTAAGATTAACTTGAATATGTGGTTTAGAGGTAGAATCCAGGCTTTGCTTTGTTCAAAATCTGGCCCTCACCTTCTCTCCTGGGGATTCTAGTAAGAACCATTCACGGCAGGCAGGCTGGTTTAATTAGGGTTACTATCACAAGCTTTCTTCCTTCCTGCCTCCAAGCTTCGCTCAACCGGTTTGCCCATGATTCAGGATAGTACCTCGTGCTCCCTCCCCAATCCAAGTCTTTCTAGCATCTCCTCCTCTGTGAAGTCCTTGCCAGCTTCCCCAGCCCACAAAATAGATGTTGCATACCACATGTGAGACTATTCTAAGCACTTTGGAAACCTTAACTAACTTAACAATCACTGTGGTCCTACAAGGCTGGCACAATTTGTAACCCTATTTTACAGAGAAGGAACCTGAGATGTGGAGGTGTTGAATGACACGCAGAGTCATTGATTTGGTTTGGATCTGTGTCCCCACCCTAATCTCATGTTTACTTGTAATCCCCAATGTTGGAGGCTGGGCCTAATGGGAGGTGATTGACTTATGGGTGTGAATTTCCCCTTTGGTGCTGTTCTCCTGAGAGTGAGTGCGTTCCGGTGAGATCTGGTCATTTAAAAGTGTGTGGCACCTCCCCTCCCTCTCTCTCCCTCCTGCCCCACCATGCGAAATGCTTGCTCCCCCTTTGCCTTCCGCCATGATTGTAAGTTTTCTGAGGCTTCCCCAGAGGCAGAAGACACTGCTTCCTAGAGTCTGCAGAACTGTGAGCCAATTAAACCTCTTTTCTTTATAAATCACCCAGTCTCAGCTATTTCTTTATAGCAGTGCAAGAAAGGATTAATATAGTCATAAAGCTGAAAGGTGTTCAGGATGTCATTGGCATTCAGTGAATGCTGTTAGAATAAATGAAAACATGGGAATCATGTAGGTCTCTTCTAAAATGTGTGTGTGTGTGTGTGTGTGTGTGAATACATGCTTTAAATCAAAGAGAAGGTGCATCTTTCACTCTCTCCTCTCTCATTTAACATTCTGCAACTTTATTAAGACTCCACTCATTCATAATTTGTTCAGATGGAATTTACATTTAGAGTTTACTTGGGCTTACCAAGATGATTTTCTGAGTCCTTCCTCTGAGACAGTGTAAGTTCATAGGTAAATGGGAACACAGGGAAAAATTTAAAACCACTTAAATGTACTAGCTTTTATACCAGCACAATATACTACTAATTCATCCTTATACATTAATTACAATAACATTTTAACAACTGTATCAGGGTTCAACCAGAGAAGCAGAACCAGTAGAAGACAGATATTAAGAGGCTTATTGCAGGGAATTGGATATGTAACCATGGGGCTGGATAGGCTAGTCTGAAATTTGCAGGGCAGTCTCCAGAAGGGGCTGGAGTTGCTATGCACTGGCAGAATTTCTTCAGAGAAGCCTCATTTCTGCTTTTAAGATCCTTCAACTGACAGAATCGGGCTGCCCCAGATTATCTCGGATAATCTCCCTTAACAAATAAAGTCAACTGACTACGGAATTGACTGACATCTACAAAATACCTTCCCAGCAACCCCTAGAGTAGGGTTTGACTGAAACACTGGAGCCTGTAGCCTCACCAAATTCACACATCCAAAGGCAGTTACAAGAACCTTTACTAATTACCATGTTTTTAGTCTATTTTATGTTTCTATTTGTATTTTAAAATAAAAAATAATTTATCTAGAAATAAGCTATTGAATACCTAAGATGTTTTAATCATCCGAATGGACTTCCCTTCAGTTGGCAGGGAGGTAATATGACACTAGTTACTGGTATTTCCTTGCTTTTCTGTTATCTTCAGATCTCTATTTATTTCTGTTTCTCTCTCCCTTCATGTTCCAGGTGTAAGTATCTCCGGTTGACATTAACCTTGAGCCTCAGTCACCTTACCGGAAAATGAGGATGATTACAAAGTACTGACGTCATAGGGTGGACTGGAGGATGAGATGAATTAATGAAAGCACTTGGATGAGGGTCTGGTAGGCAATGAGTGGTGCCCTCTTTGTAGCAGTAGGAATTGCTCATTACCCTCTGGTTAATTTCCTCTGGCCATGACCATGCGTATGAGTGACAGAGGTCTTTCCAGAAGACATCCAGAGACTGTGGCATCACGTGTTGAAGAATTAAAACATTAGTATATACCAATGCCTTTCTAATGTAAAATGTGTCATTTTCAAAGACCTGTTTTCCATTACCTTTCTGGGCTGCTAGAGACTCATGCATTCCTCCCGGCTGTCAGCTGGACTGGCTTTTGAAAATTCATGGCAGCTTTGCTGTCAGGCCAGGTGGATGGTCTTTCACAGGGAGGGACTTTCTTGCCACAAAATTTGACATGGTCACACTGCTCCTCAACACTGAATGCGTTCAAAGACCCTGATAGGCAGCAAGACAGTTTTACTAGGTAGCTCCCTTTTGAGGTGGAACTCACTATCAGGAGAACAGCAAGGAAGAAATTCACCCCCATGATCCAATCACCTCCCATTAGGCCCCACCTCCAACACTGGGGATTACTATTCAACATGAGATTTGGGCAGATCCAAACTATGTAAATAAGTAAGTGTGTTTTATTGTCATCTTGGGTTGGAGGAAGATACTAAGACGCAGAGAAAGGGCCTTTTCCTCTAGCCTCAGCTCTAGAATTAGACAAAGCAGGCCAGACATCTAGGCCTTTGCCCACCAGCTCTGGGTAAAACATGACTGTTACTGAGCACTAAACTCACTCTTCTTTCTAGGTGGATACCAACACTCAAGCATAGGTGAGGTTGTGGGGAAAAACCCTGATTTTCTTCCCCAATTCTTTTTCCCTGGCACTGCTGGCAATGGCAGGAAGACACATTCAATTTGCCAGCGGGAATGCTTTCCTAATTTGCTTTTCGAAGAGTACAGCAAAATTTCTTCTGGGGAAAAGAGTGACAGTCGCTGCCATGTAAACAGGAGGCAAGGGCTTGCGGCACTACCAGAGCCTCCTCTTTGCAGAACGCTCTGAGCTGCTTTGAGGCTTGTGAGGGGAGGGGTGTGAGTGGTGAGGAGGATGTTTTCTTTACACATCCACCTCCATAAACTGTCCGTGCCATCTGGTAGAGACTGTATATGCTGTTGTCCCAGACGCAGGAAGAATCATCTCTTCTGCGATGATGTCTTGACGGAGAGCTCCCATGTCAGAGCTGCTGACTGTGTACCTGCAGCCAGCAAAGCAGGTCCCCTTCCTTTATCTGCTTCTTCCTGTCCGCAGCCCCTTGCATTTCCACCTCAACCTGAGACGGTGAAGCCCTCACTCACATGGGAGAATGCAGACTTGCCCCTGCGTGCATTGCCATACTTCCTAGAGGAGAGCTCAAAGCAGAGCAGGGGCTCAGCAAATGTTGGTTGAATAAATGAATTAATGGATCTACTAAGGTGTTTCTAGGTTCACCCAAATGAATAGTTTACGAAGTTTCTAAGGGCCAGGTGTGGTGGCTCACGCCTATAATTCCAGCACTTTGGGAGGCCAAGGTAGGAGGATAACTTGAGCCAAGGAGTTCTAGGTTAGATTGAGCTGTGATTGAGCCACTGCACTCCAGCCTGGGTCACAGAATGAGACCCTGTCTCTAAACAAGCAAACAAACAAACAAACAGAAGTTTCTTAGGACCCAAAGCCACTAGGAACAAGAATTCAGCCAGGTGCAGTGGCTCACGCCTGCAATCCCAGCCCTCTGGGAGGCTGGGACAGGTGGATTTTTTGAGCCCAGGAGTTCAAGACCAGCCTGGGTAACATGCTGAAACCTCACGTCTACAAAAAAAAAAAAAAATTAGCCTGGCATGGTGGTGCACACCTGTTGTCCCAGCTACTCAAGAGGCTGAAGTGGGCAGACTGCTTGAGCCCAGGAGGTCCAGGCTGCAGTGAGCTGAGATCATACCATTGCACTCCAGCCTGGGTGACAGAGCAAGACCTTGTCTCCAAAAAACAAACAAACAAACAAAACCTGAATTCAGAAATGGTTGTCACAGATGAAGTATGTAATAATGGAAGAGCATTTCTGACTTAGAAGAACAAGTACCTAGAAACAATGTCCATGTTACAAGGGAAAGGCACTGCTACTGTGGTGATGGATTTTGGTGGCATTAAAACCAAATGATTTATGTATTTAGATAATGAGACTGTATCATCCTGCTTTTCATTTAAAGGCTGTTATTTAGTTTAATGATAACTTCAAGCTAGAAGGTAGGACTAGGAGTGCGGATTAAGTATTGAGCAATGGTTAAGAAAAGAGTTGATGGTAGGTACCATGAAGAGTAATCATGAGATGAAATTTTCAAAGGTCACTCTGTTTAATTCTAATCTGAACAATCAATGCGTTAAATTATCTCAATAATTTATTTAAATCAACACTCATATAAATAGGGGTGAGTACATCGATTTTGACCATTTCCTGAGTTCCAATTCACATAAGTGCTTGTGGCCAGAGGTAGGTAGATGGAGAAAATATTTTACCCTCTTCAAGAGCTTTAGCCTGAATACTAGCACAGGTGTTTCAGTGGTGTCTGAAAGTCAAAGTGAAACTGTATTGCTTGTGGCTATCTAGTTCCTGAATTATAAAAGAAACTGCTGATCTTCATTGCTGTCTTTTGAATATTTTGTTACTGACAGATCAAATATTCACTAGGCTTTATCAAGTATGCCTGTGTGTGTATTCACATCATTAAACTAATATTTACTGCACACTCCTCTAAGTACTATATGTGTGTTGACTTATTTAATTCTCTCAACAGTCTGTGAGGAAGTCCTTATCATTCTTTATGTTAAGATAAGGACCAGCCTGGCCAACATGGCGAAACCCTGTCTCTACTAAAAATACAAAAAATTAGGCCCAGCGCAGTGGCTCACGCCTGTAATCCCAGCACTTTGGGAGGCCGAGGCGGGCGGATCACCTGACATCAGGAGTTTGAGACCAGCCTGGCCAACGTGGTGAAACCCCGTCTCTATTAAAAACACAAAACAAAATTAACCAGGTATGGTGGCGGGTGCCTGTAATCCCAGCTACTCAGGAGGCTGGGCAGGAGAATCGCCTGAACCCGGGAGGTGGAGGTTGCAGTGAGCCGAGATCACACCACTGCACTCCAGCCTGGGCGACAGAGCGAGACTGTCTAAAAAAAAAAAAAAAAAAAAAAAAAAAAAAAAAAGATAAGGAAAGGGAAGTACCGGGAGGTGATCACACAGTCCTAGTTCCACACTCAACACTGACTGCCACAGCCACTGCTGTACAGGGAGGGCCACTGGCTGGCCTGTCTACACGTGTTCTTCCAGGGAAATGATGCAACTGTCAGACGACATTCAGACCCTGATAGGGTATCATCCACAAACATAACCTGGAGGCACAGTGTACCCGCTTCAGCTTTTGAACTCTGCTTACAGTATTATTGGAGTGGTCAAAATGGGGATGGCTTCTACAACAAAACCTCTAAAAGCAAAGGAACAGGATTTGTCACAACTCCTGGTGTCCTCAGGGACAAATGCACCGTGGTGATGCTGAGGGCTGGAACCCCGGCTGCGCCTGTTCCGCTGCTGCAGTCTCACTTTGTCCCGTCCCTGACTGGGAATGAAACACTTGCCTCCAGCTGGGATGTAAACATTTTGGAGTCTTTCGATATTTGTTCCAATTTAGCCAGTCATCATTGACATTTTCCTGGAAATTTGCACAATATTCTTTCATTTAACACTGGGATGAATTCCAAATGAAGAAGGCTCACTATTCTTGTGTGTTTTTTAAAAAAATTTTGAACCTCTCCCTCCATTTTTAGATGAATAAATGTGAAGAAAGAGACGAAAGAACATAGAATTTAGAAAAATGATGTGGATGTATTAACTATGCCTAAGTTACCAAACCGAGCCTCCTGAAGACTCTACGTTGGTCACACCCATCCATGTCATATTCAGGCAGGGCGGCCGCAAGTGGATGCCGGCGTGCTTCTGACTTCGGGTTTTCTCTGAAAGCCATTAAGAACAGGAAACGAAGGATGTTACGTCGTGATGACGAACCTAGAACAGCTTCTAAAACAAACAAGTTACATAGTGATGAGGAACATAGCAGAGCTTCTAAAACAAAGGAAGTTACCTAGTGATGAGGAACATAGAAGAGCTTCTAAAACAAAGGAAGTTACGTAGCGATGAGGAACATAGAAAAGCTTCTAAAACAAAGGATGTTACGTAGTGATGACGAACAAGAACAGCTTCTACGTCTTCTCTGAGAAAACACCAAATGGCGGATAACGCCGGTGCAGCGGGGGCCGGAAGCCCCGGGGGACCCTGGGATGGGGAACTGCGGTGGTTTCCGCTGAGGTTTCCGCAGTGGCATGCGGGCCGGGGTCGCGGCCGTGGATCTGGCCGTGGACCGGGCCAGGGCCGAGGCTGCGGAGCTCGCGGAGTCAAGGCCAAGGATAAGGGGTGGACACCCATTACCAAGCTGGGCCTCCTGGTCAAGGACATGAAGATCAAGTCCCTGGAGGAGACCTATCTCTTCTCCCTGCCCATCAAGGAATCTGAGATCATTGGCTTTTTCCTGGGGGCCTCTCTCAAGGACGAGGTTTTGAAGATTATGCCGGTGCAGAAGCAGACCCGCGCCGGCCAGCGCACCAGGTTCAAGGCATTTGTTGCCATCGGGGACTATAATTGCCACGTCGGTCTGCGTGTTAAGTGCTCCAAAGAGGTGGCCACTGCCATCCGCGGGGCCATTATCCTGGCCAAGCTCTCCATTGTCCCCGTGCGCAGAGGCTACTGGGGGAACAAGATCGGCAAGCCCCACACCGTCCCTTGCAAGGTGACAGGCCACTGCGGCTCTGTGCTGGTCGGCTTCATCCCCACGCCCAGGGGCACTGGCACCGTCTCGGCGCCTGTGCCCAAGAAGCTGCTCATGATGGCTGGTATGGATGTCTGCTACACCTCAGCCAGGGGCTGCACTGCCACCCTGGGCAACTGCGCCAAGGCCATCTTTGACCTTACAGCTCTAAGACCTACAGCTACCTGACCCCCCGACCTTTGGAAGGAGCCTGTATTCACCAAGTCTTCCTATCAGGAATTCACTGACCACACCTGGTCAAGGCCGACCCAGAGTCTCCGTGCAGAGGACCCAGGCTCCAGCTGTGGCTACAACACAGGGTTTTATACACAAAAAATAAAGTGAATTAAGCCTGTGGGGGAAAAAAAGAAAAAAGAACAGCTTCTAAAATAAAGATTGATTATAATAGGCTGGGTGAGACTTCTGACAAATCCAGACATGAGGCAATAGGAATTCTCCCTGAGTTGAGAAATACAGTCCTAACTGTTTATTCAGTCAAGGAGGATTACACAGCAACACGCTAGAAGAAGATTTAAGGATGAAAAGTCCACATGATGAAAGAGGAAGTGTCACCTTGGAGGGTCTGGCATTCAACATTGGATTAAACTGAAGCCCAGGAATTCCTACAAAACATCCCCCCACCTAGTACTAAGTAATCTTCACTATCTGCCTGACAATGGAATGTAGGAATTGTGTCACACCCAGAGGGTGCAGGTGGAGTTTTCTCAGGATGCCGCAGTGCAGGGTCAGTGTGGGATTTAATAATATTTTGAGAATAAGAAGAATCAAGTTGGGAGGTTTTAGGAATAGTGAAGTTACCTCCCATAAAGTCCCTTTCCCAAGATTGCAGATATCATCATGTACTTAACAAAACCCTACTAATCAGAGATATGTATTGTACAAATGAAACCTTGGGTGGACAACAAGAAGTGTGAAAAAAGTTGAACTCAGGTCAGGCACGGTGGTTTACGCCTGTTATCCCAGCACTCTGGGAGGCCAAGGCAGGCAGATCATGAGGACAAGAGATCAAGACCATCTTGGCCAACATGGTGAAACCCTGTCTCTACTAAAAATACAAAAATTAGCCAGACTTGGTGGCGGGTGCCTGTAGACCCGGCTACTTGGGAAGTTGAGGCAGGAGAATTGCTTGAACCCGGGAGGTGGAGGTTGCAGTGAGCCGAGATCGTGCCACTGCACTGCAGTCTGGCAACAGAGCAAGACTCCGTCTTAAAAAAAAAAAAAAAAAAAAAAAGTTGAACTCAATAGAAACCAAAGAAAGGCAATGTTAAGTAATTTTCCACTTGCCAATTTGGCAGAGAGTAAAAAGGAACAATAATGACCAGTATTTGTGAGGGTATCAGGAAATGGCAGCTCATATGGTAAAAGTATAAACTGATGTGATCTGTCATTCATTGCCTTTTCAAAAAGTATAATATATAAATATATATAGCAGTGTTTAAAACTGTAACATTATTTTTATTGCCCAGGAAGTTCAAATAAAAATAAACATCTTCATAGTAAGAAAATGGTACAATGGGCCAGGTACAGTGGCTCATACCTGTAATCCCAGCACTTTGGGAGGCCGAGGTAGGCAGATCACCTGAGGTCAGGAGTTTGAGATTAGCATGGCCAACATGGTGAAACCTCGTCTCTACTAAAAATACAAAAATTAGGCGGGCGTGGTGGCGGGTGCCTCTAATCCCAGCTACTCAGAGGCTGAGGCAGAAACCTGAACAAACATCTTTCATTAAAGGATATTCTTAGGTAAGCACTTAAAACTTTTTAGTATATTACAGGGACATAGTTTTTACTATTCCAACTGTAAAACATTAAGACATGACAGTGGTGATTGTAACTATTTTGTAGGAGCGTTGAAATGATTATGCTTTGTTTCATGAGAAAGCAGAGTGAAAAATTCCACATACCTCTAATTACATAACTTAATAAAGTTATTTATTTTGGTTACACCTATCAATATAATTTTCATGCAGTGCAAGTTATGCCATAGGGATTATGGTTGTCAACTGAAGAATGACAAGGCTTATAAATTTGGAAAGGGTTGCAGCCTGCAGGGTGGCCATCTGACAGGGTGGGAAGCCAGAAACAGACATTTTGAGGGAGGGGCAACAGGAACAGGAATATATGCTGAACGAAGTGGCTGAATATATGTGTTTAATAAGCTACAGGAGAAGTCATGAATCTTTGTGAAAGAGGAAACATGTGCATGAGCAATAAAGCTTCCTGCTTCTCCAAGGGATCCATGTTCAGAAAATGGCCATGTTAGCATGATCGGAGAGTGGAGTGTTTGGCCTTCTGACTTCAAAAGGTGAACCAGAGGACACAAAAATTCCAACTGCACATTCCTTGTAGACTCCATGGTCCGTGGTCTCTTATCAGGCAAAAAGGAGGGGTGGGCAGTGTCAGGTTGGTCAATAGCGGTGGAATCATTTGAAAGACTGGTTTCTGTTTTGCTCTTAGGGAAGAAAGCTTAATGGTGGCCAGCAGGGGAAGGGCACATTGAGGTGTGTCTGACCCCATTCCATCATGGTCAAGAACTCAGTTTCCAAGGTTACTCTGGGGTCCCCTGGACCAAGAGGGGGTCCATTCAGTGAGTTGAGGAGCTTAGCATTTCATTTTTATTTCTCATGGGTTTTTCTGTCAGGCCAATAAAAAACAACAAACACGCATGGAAGAAGTACTGTGGCTGCCTTTTTTTTTTTTTTTTTGAAATGGAGTTTTGCTCTTGTTGTCCAGGCTGGAGTGCAATGGCACAATCTCAGCTCACCACAACCTCTACCTCCCGGGTTCAAGCGATTCTCCTGCCTCTGCCTCCCTAGTAGCTGAGATTACAGGCATGCGCCACCACGCCTGGCTAATTTTGTATTTTTAGTAGAGACGGGGTTTCTCCGTGTTGGTCAGGCTGGTCTTGAGCTCCCTACCTCAGGTGATCTGCCCGCCTCGGCCTCCCAAAGTGCTGGGATTACAGGCCACTGCGCCCAGTCCTGTGGCTGCCTTAAAATATCTGATACTAATATTACCTAGGTATTACAGACTGAACTGTGTCTCCCCCAAATTGATATGTTGAAGTCTTAACCCCCAACTGTGACTATAATTGAAGATAGGGCCTATAAGGAGGTAAATAAGGTTAAATGAGGTCAGAAGGGTGGGGCTCTGGATAGATACAGTATCCTTACACCAAGAGACACTGGAGAGCCCTCTCTCTTTCCCCACAGGCATATAAGAGGCCATGTGAGCCCACAGCGAGAAGGCTGCCATCTGCTGGCCAAGAGAATTGGTCTCGGAATGAAACCACCTTGTGGCCACCTTGATCTTGGACTTCCAGCTTACAGAACTGTGAGAAATACATTTTTGTTGTTTAAGTCACCCTGTCTATGATATTTTGTATGGCAGCCTGAGCTATGATATATGGAATGCCTATTTATTATTTTTTAATATCTATTTCAATCTTATCAGGTAGCTACTTCATTAGCCCAACGTTGCACATTGAGGTTTACGGAACTAACTTGTCCAATGTCACACAGCTGATCACTGGAAGAACCAGGAATTAAAGTCTTCTGATTCTAAATTCTAAATTCGTTTCTTTTCTTTTTCTTTCTTTCTTTTTTTTTTTTTTTTTGAGACAGAATCTTGCTCTGTCACCCAGGCTGGAGTGCAGTGGCGTGATCTCAGCTCACTGCAACCTCCACTGCCAGAGTTCAAATGATTCTCCTGCCTTAGCCTCCCGAGTAGCTGAGATTACAGGTGAGTGCCACCATGCACAGCTAATTTTTATATTTTTAGTAAAGACATGGTTTGGCCATGTTGGCCAGGCTGGTCTCAAACTCCTGACCTCAAGTGATCTGCCCACCTCGGCCTCCCGAAGTGCTGGGATAACAAGCGTGAGCCACCTCACCCTGCCTCTAATTTTAAATTCCATACTATCATGATTACTCAGATTAATTTTTTAAATAATGTGTTACTTTCATCATTGAACCTCATAAATAGTTGTATAACTTTTGGTTTTCCCATCACCTAAAATAAAACAGCACATTACTAAAACTGCTGTAGCTTTACTTTAGCTGTTTATTTTTCAAAACATGAGTAATTATATTTCAGTGGATTGTCTTAATTTTATATGGCTGGGTATAGAAAGAAGAGTAACTCCACTTTAGAGATGGCAGTGGCCAGGAATAATCATGATTCCCATCATTTTTGGCTGGAGAATTTTAAAAGAATATTGAAAAAAAGTAGTGCTTTAGAGGGGACTGTGCTAATGATTCTGCTATTGGCAGGTCACCCCAGGAGAAATAAGTCTCAGCCCATCAATTTGCTGATGCTACTTCTCTGGGAGAGGTGAGGATGTTCTCAAAGAAGGCAAGAGTACTCATTATTGTAAAGATAAAACATGATTTAAAAGACTCATGAGAAAAGTTGTTTTCTAGAAGCACAGCAAACATCACGAGGAAGCCATGTTGCTTATCTGCAGTCTTTGCTTTGATATTTCTGTGTTGGATTAGTCTTTGACATTTGGAAATCAGTTCATCATTATTGGAGCAGTGGTGTTCTTAATAAGAAAAAAAAACATCTAAAGCAAACTAAATGGTGGAGAGGAAAGGCTGTATATGTTAAGAGGTGAGTTAGGAAAGCACGGAGGAACTCTGACTTGGAGCCGATTCAAATAGGACTGAGAGAAGTAGTGGATAATACCATAGATGTTTAATAACAGCTTGCAGACAAGGTTCAACAAGGACCTGTCAAAAGTAACTCTTCCAAATACCATGATAGAGTTAAGGCAGAGGACATCTTTGCATTGTTTCATTATGAAATATTTCTTAATTATAAAAAGTTACAGAGAAAATCAGCCAGGCACAGTGGCTCACACCTGTAATCCCAGCACTTTGAGAGGTCAAGGTGGGTGGATCACCTGAGGTCAGGAGTTCGAGACTAGCCTGGCTAACATGGTGAAACCCTGTCTCTACTAAAAATACAAAAGTTAGCCAGACACGGTGTCAGGCACCTGTAATCCCAGCTACTCGGAGGCTGAGGAAAGAGAATCACTTGAAGCCGGGAGATGGAGGCTGCAGTGAACCGAGATCACACCACTGCACTTCAGCCTGGGCAACAGAGCGAGACTCTGTCACAAAAAAAAAAAAAAAAAAAAAAAGAAAAAGAAAATTTCAGAGAAAATCATGGCCAACAGGTGTGTGTGTGCCCCTCAGCCCTATCAAAGCTCAACATGTTGCTATATTAACTGTAGATTTAAAATGCCATATTTGCTCCAGGATTTAAATGAGAACAAATTACAGAGACACTTACCCCCTCTGTAATACCTTCCTCTCCTGTTACTCTCTCTCTCCTTTCTTTCCCAGGGGAGGGTTTAGTGTTTATTATTTCCATGAGATTTTTTTAAAATGGCTTTTCATTACTTAGGTAAATACCTGTAAATTACCGCCAATATTTGTAGAGGGTTGAATGCTTGTCCTCCCAAAGGGTATGTCCACATCCTGACCCTCTGCAACCTGTGAGTGTGCCCTTATTTGGGAAGTGTCTTGGTGGATATAGAAAAGACATGATCCTCCACCATCCGGTGGACCCTAAATCCAACAAGTGTCCTTACAAGACAGAAAAGAGAAGACCATGTGAAGATGGAGGCAGAGACTGGAGTGATACGGCCACAAGCCGAGGACGTCCTGGAGCCACCGGAAGCTGGAAAGGGCCAGGCAGGAACCCCTAGGGCCTTTGAAGGAGTGCTGCCCTGATGGTCCCTTGGATTCCAACTTCCGGCCTCCAAAAGGGTGAGAGGATACATTTCTGTTGTCAGCTACCCAGTTCATGCTTATTTGTGATGGCAGCCCTAGGAAACTCATGCAGTATTGATTTGCATCTTTCAGACTAATGTAATGGTATGTTACTGTATCAGTCTACAACCTACTTTTTCTCACGGTTTGATATTTATCCATAATGCTACATATAATTTTATTTCATTCCTTTCCTTTGTTCTGTAGTGTTCCACTGCATGACTTTATTTCTAATCAGCTGAGTGACCTTGGGCTTATTTCTGTGTGTCTTCATATCCTAATCTATAAAATGGGGAAAATAATCACTAAAAATAGTGGAAGTATTAAAATTCATAAAAACCTATCTATCTTATAGAGTTCTTTTGAAAGTCAAATAATTTAATATTTTTAACGTTCTTACAATAGAACATTCCTGGCCAGGCGCGGTGGCTCACGCCTGTAATCCCAGCACTTTGGGAGGCCGAGGCGGGTGGATCATGAGGTCAGGAGATCGAGACCATCCTGGCTAACAAGGTGAAACCCCGTCTCTACTAAAAATACAAAAAATTAGCCGGGCGCGGTGGCGGGCGCCTGTAGTCCCAGCTACTCGGGAGGCTGAGGCAGGAGAATGGCGTGAACCCGGGAAGCGGAGCTTGCAGTGAGCCGAGATTGCGCCACTGCAGTCCGCAGTCCGGCCTGGGCGACAGAGCGAGACTCCGTCTCAAAAAAAAAAACACAAAAAAACAAAAACAAAACAAAACAACAAAAAAAAATAGAACATTCCTGAAACATAGTAATTGCCCTGTGTTAATTAAAAAATCTATTTATCTATTTGATTGTTGATGGATTTTTAGGATGGTTATGCTTTGCCATCATCATAAACAACAGAGCTATGAGCTGTATGTATCTTCTGGTCTACATATGCAAGAATTTCTCCGTGGTCTAGGCCTAGAGGTAGAATTTCTGAGTGTTTTGGAATTTCTGAGTATACCTTTAACTTTATGAGATCTTACCCAATTGTTCTCCAGAGTGGTTGTAACCATGGTCTTTCCTCTTGAAATAAATGAAGTTTGTCCATGTCTTTGTCAATGCTTATTGTTATTAGAGTTCGGATTTTTTGCTTCTCTGATGGATACAAAGTGGTTTAATTTCAGTATTCCATTTAACTATTATTTTTCATATTACTAGTGAAATTGAGCATCTTGTCAAATGTTTCTTGACTCTGTTTCCTATCTGTGAACTGTGGGTTTGTACCCCCATCTCTCTTTATATTGGATAGTTTATCTCTTTCTTATTTATGTATCACCCTTTGTGGATTCTGGACACTCTCTTTAAGTATTGCATATATATATATATTTTTTGAGATGGAATCTCACTCTGTTATTGCCCAGGTTAGAGTGTAGTGGTGCAATCTCGGCTCACTGCAACCTCCGCCTCCCAGGTTCAAGTGATTCTCCTGCCTCAGCCTCCCAAGTAGCTGGGATTACAGGCACCCACCACCAGGCCTGGCCTTGCATATATATACATATATATATATTTTTTTTTTGTAGAGATGGGGTTTCACCATGTTGGCCAGGCTTGTCTCAAGCTCCTGACCTTGGATTAGCCCCCTACCTCAGCCTCCCAAAGTGCTGGGATTATAGGCGTGAGCCACCGCACCTGGCCAACGCTTGCCTTTCTTTAAGTATTGCAAATCTTTTGTACCAGTTTGTGCTTTTATTTTCACTTTGTTTGTGGTGTCTTTTGTTTCATGAAAGTTTTAAAAATTTTTTATGTTGTCAAATACACCTTTTTTATCATTTGTTGTTTTAAAGAAATCTTGTTTGAAAAATCATTTTCTACCATAGTCATAAAATCTTGCTCTTATAATTCTTTTAAATGTTTTAATGGATTTGATTTTCATGCCTGGCATTTTAGTAGGCTTTGAATTATTTCTTTATATGATGTAAGTGAGGGATACAATATTTTCCATATGGATGACCAATTTTCTCAGATTTATTGAAAAGACTGGTATGTCTCCAGCCTCTCTGAAACACTGATCTACTTAGTACTGCCTAGTACTGCAACAAACTCCCTCTCCTAATTGACTATGGTTTTGTAATAATCCTTATTATCTAATAGGCAAGATCTTATCCTTCCCCGCCATGTTTTGTCTTTAGAAATGTCTTTGCTCTTCTATATTAAGAATAGACATGTTCAGTTATAAGAAAAACCTTGCTTACAATTTTTAAAATTGGAGTTTCACTGATTTTTTAGTAAAATTCTAATGTATCTATGTGTCTTACCATTGAATAACATGGATTACATCTCTACTATTCACAATCCTTTATTGTGTGTCCTTCAATGATATTTTTAGTTTTTTCTATAAAGGTCTTGTCCACTTTTAAAGAGATTTATTCATTTGAATCTTATAGTTTATGTTATTTCTTTTTCCTCCTTTTTTTCCTATTATAGTTCAGGCTTAGTTATAAAATAATTGTAAGTTTAAAAAATAAGCTTAAAATAAGCTTAATTATAAAATAATTTATTTTGTTATTTATTGATTTTTCATTTTTGCTTTTTTGAGACAGAGTCTTGCTTTGTTGCCCAGGCTAAAATGCAGTGGTGCAATCATGGCTCACTGTAACCTCGATCTCCCAGGCTCCCAAAATCCTCCCACCTCAGCCTCCCGAATAGCCAGGAGTACAGGCATGTACGACCATGCCCAGCTAATTTTTGTATTTTTTATAGAGATGGGGGTCTCGCTATGTTACCCAGGTTGGTCTTGAACTCCTGGGCTCCAGTGTTCCACCTGCCTCGCCTCCCAAAGTGCCAGGATTACAGGTTGAGTCACCGCACCTGGACTATTTGTTTAAAGTAGTTGCTGAACTCTTTGAATTGTTTTGCTTGCATTTTTCATGGTGACACATTTTCTACAAATTAGGAATTTTATAGAAATATTATCTCCAATCTTCTACTTTTTGTACCACTTATTTCTTTTTCTCACTTTAATTGCATTAGTGAGGTTAAGTAGAAATGTTATTAGGTATCCTTCATATGGGGCGTTCTTGCCCCTGAATTAAGTGGGAATGTGAATTAATCTCTTTCGTAGTGACGACTGAATGGGAAGGATCTTTGTACTCTTCCCATCCTTGCACTGTGGTGGTTAGAGATGTAGGAAGATATTGGAGAGACAAATAGAAAACATACCGTGAATAGGGCTTCTGGCAAAATTCCTCTTGGCTCCACCTGAGCTGGTGATCTCAGGCTTCCTGTATAGGACAACACATATTTTTTCATACTCACTAGTTGTTCATTCATTCATGATTTTATAAGATTAATAAATGAGCAGTTTACCTACAAAAAATGGCAGGCAGTGTTCATGAACTTGGAGGGAGGGGAATGACTACAGCCTACCCTGTGGGGAGGGAAGCAGAAGCTCCTGTGTCTCACAGCTGAAGGGAGCTTGGGATGTAACGAGGGATACTTGCTTCTCTCTCCTGGCTTAGTGGCCAGAGGTAGCAGTGTGTAAGTGGTTAAGCTCATGGCAGTTTAGGGTGCTCAAAGCTTCTCCTTTATATTTGAAGCTGAGTTAAACTCAGATAAACTGCACTCTATTGCCTAGGCCAGAGTGCAGTGTTGTGATCATAGCTCACTGCAGCCTCAGACTCCTGGGCTGAAGGAATCCTTTTACCTCAGCCTCCTGAGTAGCTGAGATTACAGGTGCATGACACTACACCTGGCTAATGCTTTATTTTTTGTAGAGACAGGGTCTCACCATGTTGCTTAGGCTGGACTTAAGTGATCCTCCCGTCTCGGCCTCCCAAAGTGCTGGGATTACAGGAGTAAGCCACGGTAAGAAGTAAGCCTTGGATCTTAAATGTAGTTTTAAAAAGCTGAACTCCGTGTACCTTTCCAAACTTCACAAGGAGCATCTTTCAAAATATGCTGATCTAAGTCCCTAATATAATTTGAATATTTACAATAGAAAATTATTCAATTAGGCTACTATAGTCATTTTTCAGGAGAAGTTAGTGATAGTATGATCAATAAAATTTTTGTACAGGATGCAATGTCCTGCTGAATCTATTATGCATTACTGTCTTTCCTTTGAATATGCAAAAAGTAAACAAATAGCATCTCTTTATGTCAGAAATTTAGACGTCCACAAAACCGCGTGGCTTCCTGGGGAGCTCTGCAATTTTTGCTTCATGAATGGGCAGGAGCCCAGCAAGTCCTGCCTCTTTGCTTCTGTCCACACTTAACAGACTGGCACCCTGAGGAGTTATTTAATTTAGAAAAGTGCTCCCAGTACTGCCTTCTACTCTTTATCTTAAATAGGCAAGTCTTCCTCCTAAGAAAAGACATCAGAAAAAGCTCCCTGGTGAAAAGAAAGCTTATCAACCACCGAGTCCCCGGGAGAAGCTGTCTCCTGCCTAATGGTAGGAATTATCTGTCTGAGCTTTCTGCTGTTACTGCAAGGACCCTTGGGCACACTCAAGCTTTCAAGAAGCTGTGCATCCTCTGCCCTGTCATGGGAACCTGATTTGGCTGTTTTGCTGAGTCAAAGCATTGGACACTGCAGTCAGCTCCTTCAAGTCGCTGGCTTTCCCCTTTGGATTGTTTCTTTCATCTTTACCCTCAAAGTCTCATCCATTCTTCAGTCTGTGCTCAAATATACCTTTGTCCTTGAGACCTGGGAAGCCTTCCTGTGTCCCCACTTCTCTCTTCTCACATTTGCTCTGTGTTATCTGTTTATACCTCTTGTTTTCATGGAACAAAGCTTGGGCTTTGGAGGTCAACCTTGGTTCAGATCCTGGCTCTGTGTCTCACTGCATGAAGATTTCTTCATTTTTATGATCCTGTATTTCCTCATTTATAAAATAGAGATAATAATGCCAAATGTCATTAAAAATGACACCATATTTGTGTAAAAAATAAATAAGTATATAAATCGTTTGACATGTTGTCTGTCAAACACTCGACCATATATTGTATTCTTCCTTCTTCCTGTTACAGGTAGTTACATATGAGCAGGGCAGGAGAGGGCTCTCCTTCGCCCCTACCCACTGGGAATGTCAGGCGATGGTTTGGCAATTATCACATTGCTTCTTTAAAAATGATAATTTGGCAGCCAGGGAGAGGCCATTTCCTGATGGTCCACACCTGTTAACATCAAAATGTTAACTGAATGCAGACCCCAGGAAGAAGCTACTGGGCATGCCTGTTAAAAGACAATAATGGCGAAGTACCATGTTCTGGGTGGGGTACACACCATTGGAAAAGGGAAGAGAGCCTCAGATGGGCATGCGCATAAATCCCTAAACACACTGGGGTGTGCTCAAGTCCAAAGGGTGAGGAAAACACTGCGCATGCAGGAAGCCCACCCTAAGGGGAGAATCATGGGAAAGAGGCGAGTCTATAAAGTCCCAGGATCAAGGTTAAAGTGCTGTTTGTTGTTCTATTTTTTTTTTTTTTCCCCTCGAGACTGAGTCTTGCTCTGTCGCCCAAGCTGGAGTGCAGTGGTGCGATCTCGGCTCACTGCAACCTCTGGCTCCTGGGTTCAAGCGATTCTTGTGCCTCAGCCTCCCGAGTAGCTGGGATTACAGGTACATGCCACCACGCCCAGCTAATTTTTGTATTTTTAGTAGAGACAGGGTTTCACCATGTTGGCCGGGCTTGTCTCGAACTTCTGACCTCAGGTGATCTGCCTGCCTCGGCCTCCCGAAGTGCTGGGATTACAGAGATGAACCACCATGCCCAGCCTTTTGTTCTTTTCTCTCTTGGACTTTCAGGGGCTTACTTGGGTCTCTTCCAAGTGAATTTTCCTTTCTTTCCTGTTCTAAAGCCTTTTTATGTTTAAAATTTATTTATTTATTTACTCATTTTATTTTTTATTTATTTTTTCTATTTTCAACAATGTTGCATTTTTATTGGTGACAGTTAATTTGGAATATTATATAATTACAGTCTTGAATTACATAATAAACCACTCTAATAATATAGTGCAGTCATTCAGTCAGAACTTTCCAGAAAACCTGAAATTCATTTCTCATAGATTTCTTTTCAGCATAGTTACTATTCTTAGTCTTCTTGCTTTTTCTTTTTTAAAAAATTCTTATTTCCATAGGTTTTTGGGGAACAGGTGGGATTTAGTTACATGAGTAAGTTTTATAGTGGTGATTTGTGAGATTTTGGTGCATTCATCACCCAAGCAGTATGCACTACACCCAGTTTGTAGTCTTTTATCTCTCGCCCCCTTTCTACCCATCCCCCTGCCCTGGTCTCCAAAGTCCATTGTATCATTCATAAAGCCTTTTTAAATAAACTTCCATTCCTGCTCTGAAAATTGCCTCAGTCTTTTTTTCTGCCTCATGCCCCTCGGCCAGTTTCTTTCTTCTGAGGAGACAAGGGCTGAAGTTGCTGAGGACCTGTATAGATTCGCTGCTGGTAACTTGGGGTAACTTGGTTCTCTGCCACCATTAACCTTACTACTGTTAGAAACAGGTGCTCAGTGCCACAAGGAAAAACCAGCACTTAGAGAATTTCTCAGCAAGGCACATTTATTTCTGCAGAAGGGTGCTGCTCGCATCTGTCCTGACCACAAGAGCACACCGAACAAAGGAAGGAAGGGATTTTTAACCCTAACACAGTTCCTGTCCCTGTGTCATTCCCTTATAGGCTAGGGTTGGACTACACAATCTAAACTGATCCCGGTTGGCTAAGACTTAAACTTTTCTAAATAGGGTAAGTGTGTGATTTGTAAGAGAAGGAGGGGGTAGGAGTGGTCTGTCCATTATAGTAAAAGGCATGTCTGGACATGTCTGGGTATGTCAGGGTGCAACAAGAGTGGGAGGATGGTTTGCAGGCTAGAAACGAGACGACAAGGAGGTTGGGCTTTTCAACAAAGAACAAAAACATTAGACAATTAAACCTTTTGAAGAGGAATTTATCATTCCTAACACTACTATTTCATTTCTGTTTAGTTACTGATTATTTAATAACATTTTGATTCACAGGGGTGTTGGAACCACATCTTATACAACTCTCTATCCCCCAGAACTAAAGATATTTGTTGGGTGTATCAGGCAGTCTGTGAGGAGTTGCTGCATTAAAATAAGTTGGTCAAAAGAGAAACAGAGAAAAAAACAAAAGGCATATAACCAACATTCTATGTCCTCAATTTCTCTCTTCAGTTTAGAAAAGATCAGCAGATGTCCATGTCCTAAATACCAAAGGGCATTTTAGATCAGGACTGTGGCAGACTGGGTCCTAACAGTTCTTGTGGTCCCTGTTACTGGACAAGGTCTCAGAGCCATTGTGACTCCACTCAAAAGCCTTAAAACACTGTGTTTTCTTCCTTTTGCTACACAGGACATTTGTGGGACAATTGGCATAAGATCTACCTGCTAGGTAATAGTAGTATATCAATGCTAACTTCTGATTTTGATGATTGTACTGTGGTTAGTAAGACAGAAATATTTAGGAATAGGAAAGCATTATTATGTCTGCAACTTACTCCTCAGCTGTTCAGAAAAAGACCCATTAAGATACAGAGAGAATGATGGAGCAAACATGATACAATGTCAATATTTAGGAATCCAGTTGAAGTTTGTATGGGTATTCATGGTACTTTTTTTGCAACTTTTCTGTAAGTCTGAAATTATCTCAAAATAAATATGTTTTTTTGTAAACTGTTTGAGATCACGCTTGCATCTTCTCTGACTTGTAGCCAGATGGAGGAGTTACCAGACCAATTTATAGTCCTCTTTCCCTTCTCTGTAAATTAAGACGTATGCTTGCATACATGTCACAGCCTGGGAAATGACACCAATTACCTAATGGGGTAAGCCTGATGGAGAGCTTTTGGGACAGTCAGAGCTGCAAGGTTAGAGGCATTTCTGATGCTTATCTGCAACTGGAAGCCTCACACTCCCCAACTCTGCATTCATTAATGAGATGTTAGCCCAGAGTTTCCCTCTCCCACAGAGATCAGGAATAAGTACAGATGTTGCTTGACCAATAATGTCTGACATGGGTGCCTACTATACTACAGAGCCAGGAGACATGCCACTGACAAAGAAGGCTTTATTGACACCCTTTCTTTCTTTTTTTTTTTTTGCTTTTTGAGGTGGAGTCTCGCTCTGTCGCCCAGGCTGGAGTGCCGCGGTGCAATCTTGGCTCACTGCAACCTCTGCCTCCCAGGTTCAAATGATTCTCCTGTCTCAGCCTCCCAAGTAGCAGACACCACAGGTGCGTGCCACCATGCCTGGCTAATTTTTTGCATTTTTATTAGAGACAGGGTTTCACTGTTTTAGCCAGGATGGTCTTGATCTCCTGACCTCGTGATCTGCCCACCTTGGTCTCCCAAAGTGTTGGGATTACAGGTGTGAGCCACCGCACCTGGCCTGACACACTTTTGTGTTTTTTTTTTTTTTTTTTTTTTTTTTTTGAGATGGAGTTTTGTTCTTGTTGCCCAGGCTGGAGTGCAATGGCGTGATATTGGCTCACCGCGACCTTCACCTCCCGGGTTCAAGTGATTCTTCTGCCTCAGCCTACCTAGTAGCTATGATTACAGCATGCGCCACCATGCCTGGCTATTTTTATATTTTTAGTAGAGATGGGATTTCTCCATGTTGGTCAAGCTGGTCTCGAACACCTAACCTCAGGTGATCCACCTGCCTTGGCCTCCTAAAGTGCTAGGATTATAGGTGTGAGCCACTGCGCCCGGCCCACACTTTGTTAACAGACCTGCATAGTGGTCAGAATTTTTTAACTCCATAACAAAGTTGTCGTTGAGTAGAAGAAGAAGGGGAAAAGAATACCAGTATAGATTTATCACATGTTTATGAAAACTGAAAGATAAATATTGGAACAGTTCTTTGTATGTAAGGGCTAAATTATATGCTTAATTGTAAATAAAACAGGTTTTCCCATAATTTTTCTTATGATGTTACTGGCCTGTCAGATTTCTCTCCCACAGCAAATCAGGGACAAATCCCACATCTGCAAGGGTAGGTTTGTCAGAGGCATGTGAACCAGAGCAAGTCCATCGTGAATAGGAGCTGGGTAAAATGATGCTGAGACCTACCAGCCTGCATTCCCAGATGGTTAAGGTATTCTAAGTCACAGGATGAGATAGAAGGTTGGCACAAGGTACAGGTCATAAAGACCTTGCTGATAAAACACGTTGCAGTAAAGAAGCCGGACAAAACCCACCAAAACCAAGATGGCCACGAGAGTGACCTCTGGTCGTCCTCACTGCTACACTCCCACCAGCACCATGAGAGTTTACAAATGCCATGGCAACGTCAGGAAGTTACCCTATATGGTCTAAAAAGGGGAGACATGAATAATCCACCCCTTGTTTAGCATATCATCAAAAATAACTATAAAAATGGGCAACCAGCAGCCTTTAGGGCTGCTCTGTCTATGGAGTAGCCATTCTTTATTCCTCGACTTTCTTAATAAACTTGCTTTCACTTTACTCTATGGACTCACCCTGGATTCCTTCTTGAGAGAGATCCAAGAACCCTCTCTTGGGGTCTGGATTGAGACCCCTTTCCTAACAGGGTCACAGCCTAAACTCATGTTGGGGTCACACTAGAACTCAAGCATTTCTGCCAGGCCCAGGGAGCAGCCCTTTCTAAGGAGCAGCTCCTGACAATAGGGAGGAGCAGACGGAGCCAAACGAGGCAAGACAGAAACGCCCCAGGTGTCAGCTGTCCCTCAGCCCTTCTCACCCTCTTAGCCTCAGATCTTCTCCCTCTGTCTACACACTCATCCTTCACATGAGGTTTTCAAGTCTGGGGACTAAAAACAGATACAGCTAATTTTATAAAAATCTTGGAGAGGCACTGGGAGTGTAAAGAAGCACTTTTGGGAAACCAACACAGAAGTGAAGCCTAGACGGGGAGGTGTGTGTGGCGGAGGGGGTGGGAGATTCTCTCCACGTCACTGCGTAACACAGGATGTCGCAGCGCTGTGTGCACCCAGGGGCCAGCACGCAGATCTCAGTGACCTTAGGGCCAGTGCAGTGCAGTGGCTTTGGCTCCAAGCGAGGACTCCGTGCCCTGCAGCACTGGCACTGGGATCTTAACTGGCATGGATGGGTGATGGCGCTAGTGACAGCCAGGAGCGCTCACACACAGCAGAGGCATTGGAAGGGGGCAGAGATACAGAAGTTGCCACACTGGTAGATGGGAATGTGTTTTTGATTACCTTTGAGATGCCTTCTGGAGAGAGTTCCAGTTTTAGGGGGGAAGCAGAGATACAGAGGTACTATAGTAGTGAGTGACAGGTGAAGCAGAGAAGCACAATCTATATATGGCACAGCTTTTTTTTTTTAATCCATAGAGAGGTATAGATTAATTGATATCATTTGCATTTCTTAGCTTGATAATTTAGAAAGATTGTTATCTTTTTAGAATATCAATGTATATGTGCACATTAAAATAAGTTATATCCATTTAACCACTACCTTTGTACTCTTACCTAATATTCACAAAAGTAATGCAGTGATGTTTTTAAGCTGAGGTGCACATCGGAATTACTAGGGAGTTGTAAAAACACATATGCCTCTATCCCACCCTTAGAAAGTCAGATTTAAAGATTTGGGATAAAGCCAAAATAGCTATAGTTAAAAAAAAATCTTTTAAGGAGATTTTAGTATTCATTTCTTTGTTGAGGACTAAGAATAAACAATCTGTACTGTTACACAATATAAAACATAGTTATATACCTATTCTATATTTAGATAATAAGGTCGATAGTCATAATAAAATGTAATAGATGAATCACAAAAAATCATAATTAATTATAACGTCTTGCATTTCTGTTGCACTTTTCATCTTTTCAAAGCACTTTAAAACCATTATCCCGATTTACTCGTATAACAATCAAGAAAGAGAGGCGTGAAGAATTATTGGGCTGTTCCTTAGAATAGAGACAGTGATGTGGACAAGGCAGTATACAAAGTATGGGCATAGAGAGAGTCTTATGGGACCAGATCCAGGTAAGTGTTATGTGAACCAGGCTTAAAGCTTAAACCAAGTTTAGAACCAGGGGTTCTAAACGCACCCCTGGCATTCAACAGAGACTGCTCAGTGCCTTGTTTGCTTTTTGTGCTCAACTCTTCTACAGGAAAATTGCAGTCATTATAGTTAACTGCCTTGTTATCCTTATGTTCTATAGTTTAAAAGTGCCCCAAACCCCCACACATTGAAGTCTCCACCTGGCACCTGCCAGGAACACCTTTGGAAATCTATTCACTTGGGTTGGACGTGGTGGGTCATGCCTGTAATCCCAGCACTTTGGGAGGCCGAGGCAGGTGGATCACGAGGTCAGGAGATCGAGACCATCCTGGCTAACACAGTGAAACCCCGTCTCTACTAAAAAAAATACAAAAAAATTAGCTGGGTGTGGTGGCAGGCACCTCTAGTCCCAGCTACTCGGGAGGCTGAGGCAGGAGAATCCCTTGAACCTGGGAGGCGGAGGTTGTAGTGAGCCGAGATCACCACTGCACTCCAGCCTGGACAACAGCAAGACTCTGTCTTAAAAAAAAAAAAAAAATCTATTCACTTGGCCGAGCATGGTGGCTCACACCTGTATTCACAGCACTTTCGGAGGCCGAGGTGGGCAGATCACCTGAGGTCAGGAGTTTGAGACCAGCCTGGCCAACATGGTGAAACCCCGTTTCTACTAAAAATAAAAAAACTGGCTGGGTGGTAGTGACTCACGCCTGTAATCCCAGCACTTTGGGAGGCTGAGGCAGGTGGATTGCTTCAGGCCAGGAGTTCAAAACCAGCCTGGTCCACATGGTGAAACCCCGTCTCTACTAAAAATACAAAAATTAGATGGGAGTCGTGGCCTGTGTCTGTGGTCCCAGCTACTTGGGAGGCTGAGGCAGGAGAATTGCTTGAACCCGGGAGATGGAGGTTGCAGCGAGCCAAGATTGTGCCACTGCACTCTAGCCTGGGCAACAGAGGGAGACTGTGTCTCAAAAAAAAAAAAAAAAAAGAAATCTATTCACTTAAGATTCCAGGCATAAGAGTTGACAATCTGGTTCTGCTTAGTGAAAACCAGCTTGCCCAGGTAACTTCCATTTTCACTAGAAAGTCCAGAACTAATTTAGGAGAGCAGCTTTGCCCACGTGAAGCATCTTAGTTCTTGTACTTTAGATAAGATTTAGAAGCATCCACAGACACATCATCTCCCATGTTAGTCGCCTGGCTGAGGAAGATACTCTTATCACAGTGCTTGCACGTTGTTGAAAATGCTCTTGTAGGATGGAAATGAAATGTGACTGTACAGATTTTGAGGTGAATATTTTTGAACTCAATATATTCATTTTCTATGAATATTTCTAAGAGAAAAAATCAACAGAGACTTTGAACAATGGATATAAAATCAGAATGTCAAAGGAATAATCATCTTTTAATCTTTTCTTTATTAAACTTTAATTGTAAAAGCATTTGGCTGAATATAATTTTGTTTTCATTATCATTAAAAAGTCATAGCATTCAATTGATATTATTTTATGTACATAAATCAACACAATCACTGATTTATTATTTGATACTTCTTTGTATAAACTGATCATTTAATAATTTTACTTCTAAGAGGAAAGGTTAATATTTCTGTAGGTTTCAGCAGTAGAGGCAGAAATGCATACACTCATATGGGGTGAGTAAAAATATGGCTTCTCTCATCTGTCCCACCAATAAGAGTTTCTGGTTCTGCTTTTAAATGCCAGGAATCTGTTTGCTTTCTTCTTCCCAGGCATCATCTTCCTGGACAACCGCACTAGCTTCCTAAGCACATTTGCGTTTCTCCATTTCCATTCTTGCTGAATCCCCTTCCCATTCACACACACAGCAGCCAAAATACTTTGACATTTAATTAATTTATTTATTTGAGATGAAGTCTTGCTCTGTCACCCAGGCTAGAGTGCAGTGGCAAGATCTTGGCTCATTGCAACCTCTGCCTCCCTGGTTCAAGTGACTCTCCTGCCTCAGCTTCCTGAGTAGCTGGGACTACAGGTGCCCGCCACCACACCCAGCTAATTTTGTATTTTTAGTGGAGACAGGGTTTTACCATGTTGGCCAGGCTGGTCTTGAACTCCTGACCTCATGTGCTCTGCCCACCTTGGCCTCCCAAAGTGCTGGGATTATAGGCATGAGCCACGGTGCCTGGCCCAAAATACTTCTTAAAAAGTGTGTAAATTAGATCACATGATTCCAGTTTCATCCAGTGGTTTCCCATTGCATTTGGGATAAGATCGAAACTCCTTGAGACCCAGAATTCTCTCTCCCTCTAATTCACTGTGCATCAGTCACGCTGGCCTTGGGGTTTCAAGACCTGCAGTCTGATCCCCATCTCTTGGCCTGAACGTCCTCAGGTCTCAGCTTAAATGGCATTTCTTTGAAGAAGCCTTCTCTGATCACTCTGCCCTGTTCTTTCAGAGCCTTTATCACAAGGTAGAGAATTGCATATCCAGGAATTTGTCTACTCACTTAACACAGCTCCATGATGGCTGGGCTTTGTTTGCTTTTGTCCAAACTTTGTCTAGAGCAATGAATGAATGAATGAATATCAGAACGTTTCAAATAAGGCTGGAACTTGGGCAATGTGTGTGATTCCGTCTTACACAACATCCCCAAATGCTGGTCCAATCATCCCCACAAGATCTCAACAGGCTACTTATAATTTTTCACCCGTATGTTCATGGTGATCCAACTCTCCTTCCCTCTGTCATGTCTTTACTTCTCATTTCTCTCAATCTTATAATGAGGACATTGCAACGATTCAGTCAATACTATTCTCTACCATCACTGTCTACAGCACAGCATTTATTTTTCATTTTTGTATTTTTACCAAAAGATGTCATGAGTGTGTATCTGACCTCTTCAGTTACAAAGTGAGAAATTGAAGACATGGTTCTCATTTTTCCTTGGCACTGAGCTCTGTGTTGAATTGAACACATGCATCCTCTCTGACATATATATAATTTTCTCCCTTCTCTTAATTTCTAGGATTGCTTTTAAATGAGGAGGCTCCAAGTTCAATTTTGCATGAAATACATATTTTTAACAAGTTGATTTTTTAACAAGTTGATATTTTTTCACATGCTGTAACCATCTGTCACTCAGTAAAGCCTAGAAATCAGACATATCAAAAACTAACCTTTTTTTTTTAAGAAGAAAATATAACCATTTTTTAAAAGACCATTATGCCCCCAGAGATTTAGGGTAATTTTGTTTTGAAGCAATACTGACCTCCTGTGGCCAGGAGAATCCTTCACTTTTTTTTTTTTTTTTTTTTTTTAAAGCAAGAGGGTTTTATTTTTTACATCCATAGAGAGGTATGGATTGACTTATTTGCATTTCTTAGCTTGCTAATTTACAAAGATTGTTATCTTTTTGGTATATCAATTTACATATGTACATTAAAATAAGTTATATCCGTTTGACCACTCTACCTTTTTACTCTTACCTAATATTCATCAAAGTGATGCAATGACTTTTTCAGCTGAGGTGCACATCGTAATTACCTAGGGAGTTGTAAAAATACATATGCCAAGAGTTTTTCTTGTAATACTTTCCCTATCATGACAGTATTTATTTTTGGCCCACAAAATTTACTGTAATTTAGTAGTGTTGATATTTTCAGTCTGTAATTCTAGTCACAAAGGCAGTACTTAGCAAAGTAACGTCTTGTTCTCTATCAATTGTGGGGCGGGGGTGGAAATGCAACCCGATGTTGTAAGACCCCGAAGTCCAGAAGATACAGTATTTCAGGTGCATTCACTCTAAGTATGCGGTTATTTCTTCCATTTGGGGCACCTTTCTCCTGTTCCTCCCATTTCTATAAACAACGCCATTTTATTAACGTCACATTTTATTTGGGGTCAGCTGCTCCTTATTTAGCTATAGCTCATTGTCCTCACCATCAATTTACATTTCAAAATACCTTACGTGTGACTCTCTCCGCCATCTGCATTTCACCACCTTTGTCTTCTGCTTCCCTGAAGATGGCGGTGGCCTCCTGGGCACCTTTTCTGCTCCTCTCCTCCTCTGCCCTCCCTGCTAGGCTCGCCCTCTCCTCTTCAGAAGCCCTCTGCCACGGATTGTCTTCTGACCAGTGGCTCCTCGTGGGTCTGTGATGATCAGGCAGAAATTGGGATAAGAGTTCAAAAATGTTTATGACAATTAGAGCAATGTTATGTATGTTTGGATCTAAGAATACAAATTTTGGCTTGTATTTTTGTAGTTGGTCTTGTTTCCACTTCGTGTTCTAGAAATTTATTTCTACCATCTATTACAGCAGCACTGGTCAGTGATGGATTGGAAGAAAACTCGCCCTTCACGACGGAAGGTTTGAGGAGCACAGCTTTACTCCTTCCTGCTGGGTTCATCCTTCCTAAGCATCCTTGTTTTGTGAATTATTCCCTTACTCAACGATTTTAATGTCTTCTCGTTTTCCATTGTATCACGTTGTATTAGTCCGTTCTCATGCTGCTAGGAAGAAATACCTGAGACTGGGTAATTTATAAAGAAAAGAGGTTTAATTGACTCAAATTCCGCGGGGCTGGGGAGACCTCAGGAAACTTACAATCATGGCAGAAGGCACCTGTTCACAGGGCTGCAGGAGAGAGGATGAGTGCCAGCAGGGGAAATGCCAGGTGCTTATAAAACCATCAGATCTCACTCACTATCATGAAAACAGCTTAGGGGAAACCACCCCCATGATTCAATTACCTCCCACAGGGTCCCTCTTGTGACACTTGGGGATTACGGGGATTACAATTCAAGGTGTGATTTTGGTGGGGACACAGCCAAACCATATCCCATGTCTAAACTCGCTGTGGAGTTTCTAGTGAATTTAACTTCAGCCCAGCTGTCCAGCCTTCTTCTTAATTCAGCTCACCAGGCTCTCCAGGGCCTTTGCTTAGGTGGAGAGGTCCGCGCATGCATGCACACAGCGTCTCCCACTCCTTTCTTAGGTTCCTGAGCCAACCCCGCCCCAGATGCCGATCCCTCTCTGTGACCCATCCAAATGGAACCATTGCTTCAACGTCCACTTCAGGTTTTTTCTCCTACGGAAGCTTCCTGCTCATCCCAAACCTTACTGGTCTTCCGGTCAGCTCAGTTCCCACGGTGGTCACCATGACAACAGGTCAGCACAGGCAGCTTGCATGGGCCGAGGGCCTCATGTGCCCCGCCCCTGTGGTCTCTGGGCAGCATCTCCGGTACTTCTCACGCCAGCCTACGAGGTAGCTGCTATTTTCACCTCCATTTTATGGATGAGGAAACTGAGACACAAGATGTTAAGTCTCATGCCATTGGTCAAAGAGGCTGTAAGGGGTGTGGAGGGGATCACAGCAGTCTTGACTGTTTTTTTGATTTCTCTGCGAGGTAGCTAATAGGAACTCTAGTTTACAGAGGAGGACATTTAAAGTTCGATGCCCTGGGCCACAGGCTGGGGAAGCATTGATTTGAACCCAGGTCACTTGTGTTAGTGTCCTTAGGCTGTGGTAACAAATCACTACAATCCAGGTGGCTTCATACAGCAGATTTATCATCTCACGGTGCTGGAGGCCAGAAGTCTGAAATCAAGGTGTTGGCAGGGTTGGTTCCATCTGGTGGCTCAGCGAGAGAATCTGTTCCACGCTTCTCCCTCTTGGAACAGCTTCTGGTGGCTGCCAGCAAGCCTCAGCATTCCTGGCCTTGTAGCTGATTCACACCCATCTCTGTGTCTGTGTTCACAGAGGTCTCCCTCTGTGACGATCTGTGCCTAAACTCCCTCTCCTTTTCGTTTATAAGGAATGCATTTAGGGCCCACTCTAAACAGAGTGATCTCATCCTCGAGATCCTTAATTACATCTGCAAAGACCCTATTTCCAAGTAATGTCACACTCACAAGCCATGGAAGTTAGGACTTGAACGTATCTTTCTGGAGGGTGTTACTCAATTTACATCAGTCTCGCTATCAAGTCCACATCCTTTCCACACTGTGCTGTTGTGCAATCACTTTGTGCCATTAAGTTTCCTATTTGATCACATACTCTCTATGCGTAGACTCAGTGTTTGACAGGCTCAGGATTTATTTAAGCTGTTGTAGTTAAGAACCATGCTTTATCCATCATCGGCAGTCCCTCAGTGCGATAAGGCATCCTCGGATGGGAGAACCTTCCAGAATTCTCCATCACAGCAAGTAGACAGTTAGGTAACATCATCTATGGATAAAGCCATTCTTATGTGTAGGCAAAAGAAAATGTATTCCTCCACACAAAAAAGGATGCCTATTGGGAGTACCGGGAAGGAACTAATAATTATTTAGCTTCCACTACATGCTAGGCCCTGTCATGCATTTTGCTTTATTCTTATTTAATTAACATTTTGTCCATTAAAGTTCAGAGCAGCAAGAAAAGAAATGAAGTACCCCAAATAGCTAAATTGTAGTTGGTTTGGGCATAGCAGGTTAGGCTAGCAAGATGGAAGAAAACAACTTTTGTGATTCATTATGAAAAACAATTATTGAAAAATAATTGAATCTTAAGGTATTGTGGGTCTTACTAATTGAATATGCTTTCATTGAAAAGACAAAAACCCAGTGCTGTGAGAGAACCTTTGTTTTTGTATTGCCATTCACCGGAAAAGCTTTTTAAACTCAATAATAAAACTGTGAATAACTTTTAGTACTAAAGTTTCAGTCATTCTTTCTTTGGTGACTTCACTTGAGGGAAGTTAAAAAAAGTGGCAGTAATTCTGAGCACAACAAAGACTTAGAATTTCAAAACTCGATTTGCATTTTAAACATTCAGGAGTAAGGACTTTTGTTTGTTTGCTTATGGTTTTTTTTACGTAGCCCTTGAGGATGCAATGTTAAAAGACAGCACTTTTAGATGAAAATGATGGGTCATGTAATTGGAGGCTGGCTGGGTTGGTGGTGGGGGTCCGCAGGAAGGACTCCCCCGGGATATTCCGCTTCGGAGTTGTTTTTAAGTGGATTGTTCCTCAAAGAGAATGAAGAGTAAATATACTTCAAGTTTAATGCTCTCTTGAAAAGCAGCAAAGATTGCTTTTTAAAATAACTAAATCTGTGATGAGGGATAAGGGAAAAGGCCTGGTATTCTCTTCTGTTTGCCCTTTGATAACTTGTTTTTGTTTGAAGCTCTGTTTTGTGGATCTATGTTCTTGAACACATTTCTGTTTTAAAATCTCTCCTCTCCTGCTGTGAATTGTCTGACTTGGTTTTGATAGTGCACTAGGCTGGAGGTTTGAGGACTATTTAGTCATGAGAATGGCCAAGGAAGGGCTGTTGTTGGTTTATCAGTAGCACCCCCTTGTGGCGATTCTATGCATTTCCTAATTCTAAGTAGCTGAAACGTTTCAAGGACAAGTTTAATTTGATTTATACACAATATTTTCTTCTATTTTTCATGTTGTTAGTTTAATTACTTTTCTCTCTTACTCTAACATTTAGTCCAGCCTAAGATCCATTCTTTCCACTTTAAATTTAGGGATGAAGCCTGTGGCTTGGAACAGACCGGGGTTCATATGAGGATTGAAGGCATTTTAATAACACTGAACACCAAGTCACTGCCAAAAGTCTGTGCCAAATCTTCGCACTTGCTTGATTTTAAACACTTGAATATTTAATTCTAAAATACACTTTTCTCAAAACAAAAGTATTTTAAATTGCTGTTATTGTTACTTAATGGTACAGTATTCCCTTTATCTTTATTCGTACTCAGAAAATAAATTCTGAGGGCTTTCTTATTAACCACTAAAACGTATACTGTGTGCAACACCTTATACAGTCTACTCAAATGCTGGATGAGATTATTTGGAAATTAAGTTGCTTGAGTGAAAATCCCATATGGGAGAGCTGCGGATACCTTAGAGCAAATTGGAGCTGCATTGGCTTTACATTTCTTTTAAAACCTCCGTATTTCAATCAGAGAACTAAAACTGAGCATTAATGCATTTCACATGGGCTGAATATCTGGTTTTGAGCTTTGCTATAACTCTAGATATTTTGGTATGGTAATTAAACTAATGTTAAAAGTGCATCTTGACAACTTCTTACTTTTTTGCCATTATAGTCTCCTATTTCTGTAACCACTTTTCCACACGCCCCTCGAGGTTTTGCCTTGTTTGAATAATTTAGATTAGGAGGTCATTCAGAGATCATTTAAAATACAATTTTGCCCAGACTACATTACATATTACTTTTGGAGGACACTAAATGAATGCTTACTTGTAGAAATAATCAGGGCGATTGGTTTAGAGGCTCAGGGCCTCATTCTTTATGAGCCTCAAATACTGCGAGTACCAGGGTTGGGGGAGTAGGGCAGTGACTCACAAGGCAGCTTCTGGGAGGAAAGAAGGAAGTCAGGTGGTGCCCACAAAAGTACTTTGCATTATACTCAATCTATTGTACTCAACTATTCTCCATGCAGAGCACATTGATCCTATGCCACTGATTGATATAGCTTCATGATTTTTATGAATGCTCCTTCCCTTATATTCCCACAGGACTGATTTTGTTGACTTTTTAAAAATTCAATTTCATACATTGGGGAAGTCCATAGTGTGATTTGTGCTAGTGGGCTTTGATTATTTTCAAAACTTAAATCCTATATTTAAAAGAACTTTCTACGAGTGTTTTTGAAAAGTATATGTATATATATATATATATATATATATATATATATATATATACACACACACATTTAATACATATGTATATATGTATTACGTATACATATACATATATACATATGTATATATGTATTACGTATACATATACATATATACATATGTATATATGTATTACGTATACATATACATATATACATATGTATTAAATCCTGGGGCCTGATAAAATAAATTTAGGTATTTTTAACTAATTAGAAGAGGAAGGTATCTGAGGCAGGAAAATAGGGTATAGAGGCGGGGAACATAAGGGCGATTCACACTTCAGCTATGACAGGAAATATTCTATCCAGTTACATAAGGCGTAGGCTGAGTAAATGACTTTATTACTTTACTTCATCCTCTTCATTTACATAGGGCGAACACCAAGTAACCAGTGGAAACCTCTAGAGGGCATTTAAACCCCCCACAATTTTGTAACGGGGCCCTTGAGCCTCTGTGCTTGGGCCCACTCCTGCACTGTGGAGTGTACTTTCATGTTCAATAGATCTCTGCTTTTGTTGCTTCATTCTTTCCTTGCTTTGTTTGTGCGTTTTGTCCAATTCTTTGTTCAAGACGCCAAGAACCTGGACATCCTCCACTGATAACAGTATCAGGGACATGGGCTGTGCTTATTCATATACATTTGTCAATGGTTGGAGGCTACTGCCCACCTCTGTGATCACTCTGGAGAAGAGAATCTTGAAGATAATTGTAATTTGGATTCCCTTCACTCCAAAGTACTGTCTTGTCTTGAATTGGGACTTTAAAGAGGCAATGGAGAGGATGCATTGAGAATGACCAAACTGTAATCACATAAGGAGCTTAACAGCACTCTGCTCTATACCTTTCTCTCTTTTTAGGCAGGTTCTGGCATCAAAATGTCTGGATTTTAATTCAGCGTGCCGTTTACTACCTCGATCAGTTATGTTGCTATGTAACAAATTACCCCAAAACTTAACAGCCCAAAACAGCATACTGTTTTGGAGAGAGAGGATTCCTGTGGCTCAGGAATCCAGGTGTAGTTTCCTTGGGTCCTCTTCTGGCTCAGGGTGTCTCACAAGGCTGCAGTCAAAGTGTCAGCTTGGGCTCTGGCTTCATCTGACGGCTCAGCAGGGGGAGAATCCACTGAGAGACTCACTCAAGTGGCTGTTGGCAGGCCTCAGGTCAGGTTGGCCAGAGACATCAGTTTCTTGTCACATGGGGTGCTCCACTGAGCAGCTCTCAACATGGTAGCTGGCTTCTCCCAGAGTGCGTGAGAAAGGGAGTGAGGGTGAACAAAGACCGTCAGAAAGGTAGAAGTTAGAGCCTTTTTGTAACCTAATCTTAAAAGTGATATCCCATTACTTTTACCACATTTCATTTGTTAAACGTGCGGCACTAGGTCCAGCTCACATTCAACAGAAGGCAATAGCGGGATGCCGGGGGTCCTGAGGACACCTCAGAGGCTGCCGACCACACTACCAGGGTCATTGTCTCTGTCACTAATGTCTCTGGTATTGGGTTCTCTTGTGTCAAATGACTAAAATAATGATTCCTACTTTAGTGAGCACTGAATAACCTAATAAGACACTTAGAGCTGTACCTGGCCTATAGTTAGAGGCCAATTAAATTGTGGTGTTAACAACATCCCCATTTTATAAAGGAAGAAGTAAGATTACACTGAATTTACGGGACTTATCTGGAGTCCTGCAACTCAGAAGGAAGGAGGCTGCTGGGATGTGAACCCAGGGCTGCCTGACTCCAAAGCCCATTGCCTTAACCACTGTTCTGTCCTAATCACCACGGAGGCTTGGATGCGATTCCATCTCCATATGTGTAACAGGTAGTCAGAGTTGCATTCCTACTTGAATATTGTTTTCATCAATGACTTCTGTGTGGATAAGGCCACCAGCCAACTTCCTTTCTTTATCAAATTTGAGAGGCTGGGCGCAGTGGCTCAGGCCTGTAATCCCAGCACTTTGGGAGGCTGAGATGGGTGGATCACCCGAGGTCAGGGGTTCAAGACTAGCCTGGCCAACATGCCAAAACTCCGTCTCTACTAAAAAAATACAAAAATTAGCCGAGTGTGGTGGTGGGCGCCTGTAGTCCCAGCTACTCAGGAGGCAGAGGCAGGGTGAATTGCTTGAACCCAGGAGGCGGGGCTTGCAGTGAGCCGAGATCGCACCATTGCACTCCAGTCTGGGCAACAGAGCGAGACTCTGTCTCAAAAAAAAAAAAAAAATTTGATTTGATTTGTCAGTGTTAATTAGCGCAGCTGACTTACCTGCTGCCTTGGGAAACATTTCGGTTTTCCTAGTACTGTCTTTTTCTTCATCTCTCTGGCCTCTAAATGTTGAAGTACTTTTGGCTCAATCCTTGGGCTTCCCTTTTTTAAAATCTGTGCTCCTTCTTGCTGCTGCGATACAGTCTCACGGATTTAAATATAATCTTTCTGAAAATGACTCCCAAGTTTATAATTTAAGTCCAGGTCTATCTCTTGATTTTCATACATGCTTATCCAGCTGCCTACTAGGATCTCTGCTCGGGTGATCTCCACTCGTCTAACGTGTCTAAATCGTGTCATGTTCAAAATGAATTCCTGGTCTTCCTGCTGAAAGCTTTCAGTTTATTTTTCCATGTTTTTTATTTTTTTCTTCATTGCTTTTAGCACCTTCTCACATATTACATATTTTGCATTTAAACAAATTTTTAACTTATTTTTATTAATATATTTCACTCATGTTTACTATTGCTTGTCTCTACTCCTGGAATACAAGCCCCATGAGGGCCAGGAGTTTGTTTGTTTGTTTTCCTGTTTTGAGCAATATTATGTCTTATTTAAGTACCTGGATATGGCTGACCATATAGCACCAGTCAATAAATATTTGTTAAATGATTAAATGCAGAAACAAAAAAGATGAGTTCCATAACATCAGTGAAATGTGCTTTGGAGAAAGAAATCATAGCCCCGTTCTTGTTTTTGGTGCATAATCGGAAGCTGGAACTCCGTGTCTCCTCTCTCACCCCATTTTAAAACAATAGCTCTAAACAATATATCTGAATATGCCACTGAAGAAATGTCACTAGGTGGAGTAACTCTAAAAATTGGGGGCCTCTCAGTGGGTGGCCGAAAACCATCAACAGGTGGGAAGGTAAGTCCTGCTTCCCATGCACCAGGCTGGCTCTAGTAACTTCCATAAACAGAGGACGTGGGAAGGGGAGGTGGGCAGGAAATTGGGAGCAGAGCAAGAGATGACAGGAAAGTGAGAAAAAGATTGGTTTTTATTGATTGAAGAACTAGAATTATTGAATAAATGTACAGAGCAACGTGAGAATCAGGCTTCTTGGTGGTGCTCATTTAAAAATAAGAGTAAATTACTCCATTCAACAAAAATGCTTTACATATAGAAAAAAAGTCCAGCAAATTGAACAGAGCTTTTTTCATTCTTCTTGTGAAAGGTCAGGGCAGTTCTAATTCCAATGTCCAATTACCAGGCATAATCAGCACAGCAAAGTAGAATCAACTCAATTTCAATCTCAGGCATTTGTCTCACCTTTAGCTGGCTTTGGTATGACTCACTGCAATTTTCTCATCAAAAAGCTAATTTTAGGAGCAAAATGTCAAGAAAAGATGAAAAAGGAGAGCCTGGTTTTACAGAGCCTGGGATTTTAAAAAAAATCAGGGCTGCACTCATAAGCTACTTGTCAAATCAGTCACCCACCGAGGCCTCTATGATGCGATGGCCGGGATCCAAGGGAATAGAAAGTAAGGCAGAAAGAGAAACAAGTTTGTCCCATTCTCTAGTCTCAAATGTAGGAGGACGTTCTGTTCCAGACGGTCCTAAATTTTAACCTGACTTGATGATTTTTGAACAAATTCCAGTTGCGTGAGCAGACTTGACAAAATGAACAGCGAGTTGGTGGCCCCTTGGGCAGCTGCAGTTGTCTCCTTAAAAACAACAACAACAGCAACAAAAACCAAAAAACAAAGCCATTATTCCAAGTGAAGTAACTCAGGAGTGGAAAACCAAGCATGGTATGTTCTCACTTATAAGAGGCGGCTAAGCTATAAGGATGCAAAGGCATAAGAATGATATAATGGATTTTGGGGACTTGTGGGGAAAGGATAGGATGGGGTGAGGGATAAAAGACTACATTTTCGGTACAGTGTACACTGCTTGGGTGACGGGTGCACCAAAATCTCAGAGATCACCACTGAAAAACTTATTCACATAACAAAAAACCACCTATACCCCCCAAAACTATTGAAATTAAAATAGAAATTAGGCCGGGCGTGGTGGCACATGCTTGTAATCCCAGCACTCTGGGAGGCCGAGGCGGGCAGATCACTTGAGGTCAGGAGTTCGAGACCAGCCTGGTGAACATGGTGAAACCCCATGTCTACTAAAAATACAGAAATTAGCCAGGCGTGGTGGCACATGCCTGTAATCCCAGCTACTCGGGAGGTTGAGGAGGAGAACCTCTTGAATCCAAGAGGCAGAGGTTGCAGTGAGCTGAGATCGTGCCACTGCACTCCAGCCTGGGTGACAGAGTGACATCTGTCTCCAAAAAAAAAAAAAGGAAATTAAAATAAAACTTTTATTTTTATTTTATAAAAATAAAACTTTTATTTTTATTTTATAAAAATAAAACTTTTATTTTTAAAAATAAAACTTTTATTTTTAAAAATAAAACTTTTATTTTTATTTTATAAAAATAAAAGTTTTATTTTCATTTTATAAAAATAAAACTTTTATTTTCATTTTATAAAAATAAAACTTTTATTTTCATTTTATAAAAATAAAACTTTTATTTTTATTTTATAAAAATAAAACTTTTATTTTTATTTTATAAAAATAAAACTTTTATTTTTATTTTATAAAAATAAAACTTTTATTTTTATTTTATAAAAATAAAACCCAAAATTCTTTGTAAGGGAAACCTATGAAAGGAGGGAAAAAATAGATTTTTCTAGGCTATTTCCACTTTTTTTTTTTTTTTTGTAGAGCTAGGGTCTCATGTTGTCACCCAGGCTGGAGTGAAAGGCAGTGGCACCATCAGAACTCACTGCAGACTCGACCTCCCAGGCTGAACCAGGCTCTCACCTCAGCCTTCTGGGTAGCTAGGACCACAGCCGTGTGCCACCATGCACAGTTAATTTTAAAACAATTTTTTTTTGTAGAGATGGGGTCTCACTATGTTGTCCAGGCTGATCTCAAATTCCTGGACTCAAGTGATCTTCCTGCCCTGGACTCGCAAAAGTGCTGGGATTATAGTCAGGAGCCACCGTGCCCAAGCATTTTTCTATTTTTTGCTACAAGAAAAGGAGTGCCTGTTTAGTTCCCTGAGTGATTATAATGAAACTGTCAACAAGTTCTGTGTCCATTCAACGTTGCCGGGTCTCCAGTGTGGGGTGGCCTCCCCGAGGCTCTTCGCCTGTGCTCTGGCGTCAGCAGCACTCTTTCTGGTAACATATTCTCTGGGTCCACACCAACTCCCTTCTGCTGCAATTCTGGAAAAGCCTATTTATGAAATCCATATGAAAATTACAGAACAGTTAGTTATCCCATCACCTTTCATGGTCTTGAAAAGTCAGACTTCTAATCTAGGAGCCACAGGGCCTATCCTTTGAGTGCTTGTGTCTTTCTGGTCTTTCACCACATTTGCTCTCCTGCCTGACTCTGTGTTGCGTCTGCCCTTGACTATGAGCAAGGATAGGAGCTGCCCTCGACTGTTACGTATTTTTGCCACATTATTTCACAAAATGATTTTTACTTACCACTAATCTATTCTGTGGAGGTGCCAGAGAATGGCAATTTTTAAAAAATCCAAACATTTAATTTTAAAAGCATTTGAGACATTTAAAATTCATGTTATTTCTTTGGCAAAGTCTTTCCCTTTGCAAAGGTGATCCCAAACCCAGGATGTGGTCAGCAGAGCTCTTACTGATTCCTTTTCCTGGAAAAGGCTTTCTCCTCTAGGAAGGCGTGTTCATGTGTGCCTATGTGGGTGGCTGTGTTGATTTTGGGGTCGGGTGGTGTGTGGGGAGGAGATTGCCTGTGTACTTTGCCTTTCTGAGTTTCTCCAGAGTGTGTGAGACAATAATCAGACAAGGGGATTCACCATAGCTTTCAGTCCTTTAAAATTATCTATATAACAGAATACGTTTATAGTCTATGAATTCATTGTTTCTTTGAGGAAAAGGGAAGCAGCCAGTCCCATGGCTTATTGTTTTAGAGAATGTTTTACTGCCATGACAAAGCTAAACGGAAAAGAAATTTGTCTTTTGTGAAGAGATGAAACTTATACCTTAAACACAAACACCCAACCTTGCCAGCTTTATATTCTTATTGCTCAGACATTTTCTCATAGAGTTGGGGATGTTTCACTTTGAAATGGAAACTTATATAATCCCCCCTCCCAAGAATTGTTTCCCTGAACCTCACACCATGATGCATTATTTACGATATGGGTTAAGAAATGAATGCCATTCATCCTGCTTCAATGAGTTCAACATGTTTTAGCATAAAGTGCCAAGGACAGAGATACTTTTGGTGGGAGAAAATCTGAAAGCATACTGAGCTATTTTGCCAATTATTTCCCCAAACTCATTTGTTTTCCATGAATTCAAGGATATTTTGAGTTAGAAATAAAATAAAACAACATCGGAGTAATATACTAAATGGATTAAAAAACCAAACAAAAAGTGAGAAAGTATTTGACACCAATTTAATAGACCAAGTGTGGGTTGCCTCAATATGGAAAAACTCGTATAAATTGACTAAAACTTCACCTTAGTCTTACTGCTCTTTCTACAATGATAAATTGCATAACTGGATCAAGTTGTGGATTCTCTCACCCCCAAATATTAGATGTTTTTGCAGATGAGCAAACTAAGACCTGGACGCCTTTTCTCACCATCACCAGATTAGTTAGTGGCCGTTTAGGGGGACCTCAGACATGTGGCTGCATAGTGTCATTGTCATCGGAGAGCTGCAACTCTCCCTGCGCCTTAACGGTCCTCTCCTGCTCATGACTGAAATGCTATTGTCCTCATTGTTCATGCCAAGCATGACCTTGTCTGGCCCCTTCTTTTCCCATGCAACTATCGGGATGCCCAACAGCATTTTAAGAGGATTTGTGTGAATCAGTGGGTGAGGCCAAGAAGGCTAGAAAATATTAGAGTGCCAGCTGTGAGTAGTGGCTAGATGTAAGAAGAAGGAGAACAATTTTTAAAACTTGAGAATATAAAAATGAATTGCCGCCATTCATAACTTTGATTATAGATGGGCCTTGCACTATTGATGTCAATGACAAGTCATGTCTAAAGTGTCAAAATCTCTCATGAAGGAAAAAGCGAGAGGTAATAATTATTTTTTTTTGGTCTCAGAAAAGTTTAAAGATGTGACCATTTGAGGCAGATTGATTTCAATTGTTGTTTTTCAATCCACTCTTAATTTAAAATGAAGACTCCTTCCAAGGGTGGTGTGAGAAATCCACTGAATAAATTGTAGGATCAGAGCAGCTTTCTTTTAGCGTATTATTCCTAGTTAACAAATTAGGAGATCTTGGCCATATTAACGCTCAAACATTATTCTAATGAAAACGTTCAGATAGTTCTTAGTACTAAGAACCTACAAATAAATAAAGAATCCCCAGCTTGTTGCCTTGGAAAATTTGATTTTAATGAACAGACGTAGCTCAGAATGTCTGTTATTAGCATACAAACACTCCTAGGTTCTTTTCTTTTGAAATATGCCTTCATTTACAAAAGTTTAATGTTTTAATATGAAAATCCTACATTAAATCTTCATCAGCATTAATAAATCACTAGATCTTTTAATACCAGGCAAGGCACTGAAGAAATGCAGCATATAATACTTACAAGATTTTTCTTCTTTTTGTGTGCTTTTGAAAAATTCCTGTGAAAAGTATATTCAAAATAAAATGTTATACATCTGTATGACGCTTTTTAGTAACCCAAATATTTGCATTATATTACATCACTTGGTCCTTACAACACCACCATATGTCTTGGAAGGAAAAAGGGGTATATCGCTTTACAGGTGAGGACTTGGTCAAGGGTACGTGAGTAGAAAGTGGACATTCAAGGTTTTGCATGAAGGTTTTTATAGAGCCTCGTTCCGTATTCTTCCCATGACATTATGGTGATGCTTTTACACTTTTATCCATAAACTCTCTTTATTTGTTTGCAAAGTATTCATGGTGTTGGAGTGCTTGTCCCTCTTGGGGATATATGTTGTGGCTTCCCCTTGGATCTCAAACCGTGTAAGTACAAACAATACCACGTGTTCTGTTCTCTTGTCCCCGTCCCTGTGTTCAAGGTAGCAATCAATCACTGTGAATTAGTAGTAATTCCAATTTTATCTGGAACATTTTTACAGTACTGCGAGCCTATGAAAAAAGTAAAATAGTAAAAAAAAAAAAAAAATTAGAGACTGGTAAAGTTTTATTTTATCTGCAAGTCTGTCATAAAAAGTGTACTTTGGCTTCCGGTACTCCCTTCTCCCAGGAATGAGCAATTTACGTGCATTCAGTTTTTGTGGAGGTGACCATTTTCCTTTGAAAACGGCCCAGTCTATTTATTTTAGCACTTGGTTTGGGGACGGGTATTAAATTCCGTTGCTGGCATCGCGCCAAGACAGTAGGCCAGCAGAGGCCGCTGGGCTGAAGCCTGCAGGGGTGCCTCCTCTGCCGGATCTGGCCAAGCCTCCTGCCAGTCGAGGCCCTTTACCTTCCAGTCACACCAAGAACTAAAACAGGATCAGCCAAAGGTACAATGTTTTCCCAAAGCGTTAAAAATCGATGCTTGGCTTGAAATACAGTCTGGTCTTTGATATTCTGCCGTGGTGATCAGTGTTGGAGCTCAGGAAGCTGAAGTTGTACGCAGCCTGTCCGTGCAGAGCTGAGGCTGTGACGAGAGAAGCCAGCAGCGAACGGGACCGCAGGGCCATCGGAGCAGCAGGGCGGGGGTCGGGGGAGCCCTGCCGCGCCCGGCGTTTGCAGAATCAGCTTCTGATTGGCCTCGCAGGGCAGAGCGCACACTCTGCACTGTTCGGCCTCCCTAGAGGCCATGGGGAAAGCACTGGTTTTAGGATTGGGGAAGGAAGGCACCAGGCGCTGCGGGAGGGCGAGAGGGAGGTGGAGGCTGCCGGAGTAATGAGCGGCGAGAGCTCGTGAAGCGGGGGTGCAGGGCGAGTGCAGCGGGGGTGCAGCGCGGGTGCAGGGCGGGTGCAGCGCGGGTGCAGGGCTGATGCTGGGTGGGTGCAGGGCGGGTGCAGCGGGGGTGCAGCGCGGGTGCAGGGCTGATGCAGGGTGGGTGCAGTGCGGGTGCAGGGCGGGTGCAGCGCGGGTGCAGAGCCGGTGCAACGCGGGTGCAGGGGTGATGCAGGGTGGGTGCAGTGCGGGTGCAGGGCAGGTGCAGCGTGGGTGCAGGGCGGGTGCAGCGGGGGTGCAGCGCAGGTGCAGGGCTGATGCAGTGTGGGTGCAGCGGCCTGGCCACCTCCCTGCTCCCAGGGCGTCAGAGGGATTGCCTGAGTCCCTCTGGCAGCAATCAGGTGTGCTCTTGTTCAACAGGGGCTGCAATCGCCCCAACCTGTCCCTCCTGCCCCCGGCTCCTCCTGGAGCCCTGACCAGGGAGATCAGCAAAGTCTCCTTTTGATTTACTGCCTCTTCCCTCCATCCTGGCATCCAGGAGGGGCGGAGTGAGCAGTGGGTGAGCTCTCAAGAGTGGGGCCTGGAGATGCAAGGCGGGCAGATGGGCCGGCGGGGGCAGATTTCACATGAATAGATTTTACTTTGCAGCGGAGTGAGTGGCACGAATGGCAAATTGATTCTTAAAATATTTTGAGGGACTGGTATTATACCAAGGTGTAGGACTGACCACAAACATCGGGTTAGTTACCAGATACTAGACATGTTTACAGGAAATTGTAACATTCCTACTTCCTGATATTACTTTTACTAGGGATGTCTTCCATAAAAAACAAACAAATAAGCATTGATTTTTCCGATTACAAAAGCAATACATGTTTATTACTGAGTATTTGAAAAACACAGATGAATATAACCAAGCAAACAAAAGTCATTCAATAGTCCATGAAAGAGAGGTAACAACTGTTAATATGTTAGAAGTATTCTCTTCTATTATTTTTGGAACACATATTTATACTTAATATAATATTTGAGATATAGCACATATTGAGATTTTAGATCTTGATTTTCATTAAACAATTTTATTAAAATATGATTTACAGGCTGGGAGCGGTGGCTCATGCCTGTAATCCAAGCACTTTGGGAGGACGAGGCAGGTGGAGCACCTGAGGTTAGGAGTTGGATACTAGCCTGGCCAAAATGGCCAAACCCCATCTCTACTAAAAATACAAAAATTAGCTGGGCACTGTGGCAAACACTTGTAATCCCAGCTACTTGGGAGGCTGAGGCAGGAGAATCACTTGAACCCCGGAGGCAGAGGTTGTAGTGAGCTGAGATTGCACCACTGCACTCCAGCCTGGGCAACAGAGCAAGACTCTGCCTCAAAAAAAAAAAAAAAAAAAAATATATATATATATATAATTTACGCACCACAATATCCACAATCGTAAATGTACAATTCAATTATTTTTAGTAAGTGTTTGTTTAAACTTGTGCAAACATCACCACAATCCAGTTTGGGACAAGTTCCCTCCTCCAAGTGTAACCTCCTGCCCATTGCAACCACACTCAGCCCTAGATAACCACTGATGTGCTTTTAGTGTCTACAAATTTGCCTTTTTTGGACATTTTAGATAAATGTAGCTTTTGTGTCTGGCTTCATTTGCTTAGCTTATGTTTTTGAGAATCATCCATGTTGTAGCGTGGATCGGTAGTTTATTTTATTTTATTTTATTTTATTTATTTATTTTTTATTTTTTGAGACAGAGTCTCACTCTGTTGCCCAGGCTGGAGTGCAGTAGTAAGATGAGGACTCGCTGCAGCCTCTACCTCCTGGGCTCGAGTGATCCTCCCACCTCAGCCTCCCAAGCAGTTGCAATTACAGGCATGCCACCAGGCCTGGCTAATTTTTAAATTTTTTGTAGGGATGGGTTCCCTCTATGTTGCCCAGGCTGGTCTTGAACTCCTGGGCTCAAGCGATCCTCCCTCCTTGACCTCTCAAAGTGTTGGGATTACAGACATGAGTCACAGTGCTTGTCCTCATTTTTATTGCAGAATAGTATTCCACTGTTTGGATATGACACATTTTGCTTACCCATTCACCTGTTTTTGGTTATTATGAATACTGTTGCTATGAACATTCATGTACATGTGTTTGTATGGACACATATTTTCATTTCTATTGGGTAAAATTCTAGGGGTTGAATTGCTGGGTTCTATAGTAAATTTGTTTAACTTTTTAAGAAATTGCCAGACTGTTTTCCAAAGTGGCTACCCCATTTTACATTCCCACCAGCAATGTACGAAGGCTCAAGTTTCTCTATATCCTTGTCAACACTTGTTTTTTTCTATTTTTTGATAATGGCCATTCCAGCATGTGTAGTGGTTCTCAGTGGGGTTTGAATTTGCATTTCTTTAAAGAGTAAGAATATGAAGCATCTTTGTATGTGCTCATTAACCATTCAGATGTCTTGTGAAATGTCTGTTCAAATCTTTTATCCATATAAAAATTGAATTGTTTTCTTATTATTGAATTATAATTCTTTATTCTGGATGCAATTCTTATATGAGAACTGATTTGCAATTATTTTTTTCCCAGTTTGTGACTTGTTTTTTCATTTTCTTAGCACTATCTTTTGAAGTGCAGAAGTTTTTAATTTCAATGAAGCACAATTATTTTTTTCTGTGATGGATCATGCATTTGGTGTTATATCAGAAATTTTTGCCCAACCCAGGGTCACTGTAATTTTTTCTTATGTTTTATTGTAGACATTTTATAGAGTTAGATTTTATAGTAAGATGTATAAGTGATTTTGAATTATTTTTTACATATGGTATGTTTTTGGGTCTCTGTTCATTTTTTTTTTGCATATGGCTATACAATTATCCCAGCACCATTTGTTGAAACGCCTTGGTACCTTTGTCAAAACTCAGTTGGGGGGCTGGGCGTGGTGGCTCATGCCCGTAATCCCAGCGCTTTGGAAGGCCGAGGTGGGCAGATCGCTTGAGGTCAGGAGTTCGAGACCAGCCTGGCCAATATGGTGAAACCCTGTCTCTACTAAAAATATAAAAATTAGCCAGGTGTGGTGGCACGTGCCTGTAGTCTCAGCTACTCAGAAGGCTGAGGCAGGAGAATTGCTTGAACCCAGGAAGCAGAGGTTGCAGTGAGCCAAGATGGCCCCATTGCACTCCAGCCTGGCCATTGCAGCATGTATCCATCTCAAAAAAAAAAAAAAAAAATCAGCTGGGCATTAATGTAAAGGCTTATTTCTAGCTTCTCTTGATCTATGTTCCTAGCCTTATGCCAGTACCATCCTCTGTTGTTTCTGTGAATTTATCATCATTGTGAAATGGGGTAGTACAAATCTTACAACTTTTTTCTAACCTTTCAAAATTGTTCTGGCTGTTTTAGGTCCTTTACATTAAGAAAATATACAGGATCAGCCTGTCAATTTCTACAATATAACCTGCTATAGTTTTGATAGGGATTTCATTGAATTTACTTATTTTATTGGAACATTTTCTCATGTTTTTATAATTCTGATACTTTTAACTGGGACAGTTTTGGGACATTTATGGTGGGAAGAAGGGAGTTGGGATAAACTTTTAATTTCCCTTTTCATCTCAGCTTTCACTCAATATTTGCTCTATGATACCTATGCAGAGAAGATGGGTCTTTGCAATTGAGAAACTTGTGGCTATAAATTTCTTAGCTGTTAAAATTGTACTGAGTTCTCCCTAGGAGATCCACAGGGTAACCCAGACAAGAACGAGAGGCCAAGGAAATCCTGGAGGGTGGCGATTATGCTGATGGGGCAGTTCATACCAGGAGTGACGACTCCTTATGCCAACAGCAGTGCAGGTTGGCAGGATGACCCTCAGCATGACATGGACACACGCTGCATTACTCGGTGGGCTGGGCAGGCAGCAGTTGCCGTCAAGAAGGCATCTGCCAGATGTGGGGAGGAAGAGCGTTCCAGCCATGACCTGACAAGAAGAAACGTGGGAGGCCACGCACAGCCAAGTGCCCACGGGGTGCTGCACACGGAGCCCAGGAATCGACTCTGGCTTCTTCCGGATCACATGGTTCACGGTGGGGTTTACAGCCCTCATTTCTGATGTTATAAGGTTAGAGGCAGTGACCTTGGGAGAGTTTACACTCAATTTAATTTTTATTGTTTCATGAAATGGAAACTGTTTTCTGTCAGTCAATAAAGCAGCGGGCCTTCTGCTGTATAATGGATGTGGATAAGCGATTGCTGTTTGTTATCACCGTTTAACTGCAGAGAAGTCTTATTAGTGGTGATTTTGGAACTCCAGGACTTTTACCAGCCTCAGGGCTAATTCTTTATCCATGTCAGCATCAATGTTGTTACATATAACAGGTTATGGCCACTTCAAAAGGAAGGGAAAGTTCAAAGTCTCTAAAGTTTAAAATGCACTAAAAAGCAAGTATGCTGAGAGAACTAGAGATCTGAACTAGGGGTCTGAGCCATCAGGAGTTTCAGTGAAAACATGTCTGAACAATCAGCTGAGCAATCAGATGTTCCAGGAAATAATGGCAACCCTAACCTATCAGGTGAAAGAAACATCATCTTAGAACTCAGCTGCATCACAACAGAGAAGCACAATGCTTATGGCAATAATCACTAGTAGTTTAGAGATGGAAAAATGATCGAACGTATTCCTTGCATGTTATGAAAAAAAATCCTAAATATTCCCAATTCCCATTTACCCGTTCAAATTGAGCAGAAGTCCTGTTGAAGTTTATATGAAAGAACGGGATATAAAAGAAATTGTAGCTTGGTTTTCGAAGGCCATAGACACTTCCTCACTCTACTAGTGTAGTATAATAGGAAAGTGGTTTTGCATTCTTGGTCAAAGGCCAACTAAATGCAGAGACGTTGGCCTCAGAAGGGATGAGGATGAGGTCAAAGGTTTTTGAATAGAGGAAGCAGAAAATGCACAAAATTGCTTCCTCAAAGGTGACATGTAGCTTTGAAAAAATACTTTGGGTAAAGAAGTCTGGTGTGGCCCAGTGTGGTGGCTCATACCTATAATCCCAGCACTTTGGGATGCTGAGGTGGGAGGATTGCTTGAGGCCAGGAGTTTGAGACCAGCCTGAGTAACACAGAAATACCCCATCTCTACAACAACAACAACAGCAACAAAATTAGCTGGGCGTGGTGGTGCACATCTGTAGTCCCAGCTACTCAAGAGGCTGAGGTGGGAGTGTTGCTTGAACTCAGGAGTTGGAGGCTACAGTGAGCTATGGTCGCATTACTGCACTCCTGCTTGTGTGACAGTGTAAGACCCAGTCTCAACAATAACAAAAGAAGTCCGTGTGTGTGTGTGTGTATGTGTGTCTACAGTGTGTGTGTGTGGTGTGTGTGTGTATGTGGTGTGTGTGTCTATGTGTGGTGTGTATGTGTGTATGTGTGGTGTGTATGTGTGTATGGTGTGTGTGCATGTGTGTATGTGGTGTGTGGGTGTGTATGTGTAGGGTGTGTGTGGGGTGTGTGGTGTGTGTGTAGTGTGTGTGTGTGTGGTGTGTGTGTATGTGGTGTGTGTGTGGTATGCCCCCTGTGTGTGTGTATGTGTGTATGTGGTGTGTGGGTGTGTATGTGTAGGCTGTGTGTGGGGTGTGTGGTGTGTGTGTATGTGTGTTTGTGGTGTGTATGTGGTGTGTGGCTGTGTGTGTGTGTACATGGGGTGTGTGTGTGTGTGTGTGTGAGAGGGAGAGAGTAAATGAGGAAGAGTCTCCACTTATTCTTTATGCCTTTATTCATAAGCTGAAGTTAGGCTCGGACTAATGATGATTATTATAATAGATCCCGCTATTTTTATACTGCTTTATGGTTTAAAACACATACGGGTTGAGCATCCCTAATTCAAAGCTCTGAAATCTGAAATGCTTCAGAATTGGAAAGGTTTTGGGCCCCGACATGTTGCCACAAGTGGAAAATTCCACGCTTGCTTCCTTTACTTTCCAGTGATTCAAAGGACACAAACTTTGTTGTATGAACAAAATTATTTAAAAATACTGTATAAAGTTATCTTCAGCCTATGTATACAAAATGTATATGTATTTTATTTTTATACTTGGGTCCCATCCCCAAGATATCTCATTGTATATATGCAGATATTCCAAAATCCAAAACAGTTCTCATCCCAAGCATTTCAGATAAGGGATATTCAGCCTATGGTAATGTGTGAGATCTGTGTAACTAGTTTGGGTGGCCAGGTTGGTCACTTAATTATAGGACTGACTGGAGACCTGGAACAAGGTCCCCTATATCAGGGGTCCCCAAGTCCCGGGCCACAGACCGGTACCGGTCCATGGGCCGTTAGGAACAGGCTGCACAGCAGGAGGTGAGCAACGGGTGAGTGAGCATTACCACCCGAGCTCCATCTCCCGTCAGATCAGCGATGGCACTAGACTCTCACAGCAGTGCGAACCCTATTGTGAACTGGACATGCGAGGGATCTAGGCTGGGTGCTCCTTATGAGAGTCTAATTAATGCTTGATGATCTGAGGTGGAACAGTTTCATTCCTAAATCATCCCCCTCAACCCCTGTCTATGGAAAAATTGTCTTCCATAAACCTGGTCCCTGGTACCAAAAAGGTTGGGGACCACTGCCCTATATGAAATCACATTCCTTTCTGGCCCCGACCAACTCCCTCCTGCATTCCTAGTCCTTCTAAATTTGTTCTACATTTTGTTTCTTCCCTAGCACTTACCACCTTCTGGTATGCTGTATAATTTATTGATGTGTTATGTAGGTTGTCTGTCTCTCCCTCACAAGGATGTAAGATCCACAAGAGCAGGGGTCTTGCTTTGTTTTATTCACTGATGTATGTCAAGCACTCTGACCAGTGCTTGCCACAGGACACTCAATAGGCAATTGATTGAATGAGTAAAAACCCAACAGAAAAGAAAAGAAGGATTCTTAGCCCAGTATGGAAGTAAAGGGTTATAACTTCTTAAGACGGATGTGAGGCAGAGAAGGGAGGTGGGAGTTGTCCCAGCAGTCCACAGACCTCTGGAAAAACTGGATCTTTCCTGCATGGATCAAGAGAGAAGCAACTCTTTGAACAGTGGGTCTTAATAGTTCAACTGCTACAACATAGACTGGGACAATCCATGTGCAACTCCATAATTTGGTGAGCAGGCCTGAGCTGGGTGTTTTTTTTTTTTTTTGTATGTTTTTGTTTTAAAAGAATATATAGGCATTGGCCGGGCTCAGTGGCTCACACCTGTAATCCCAGCACTTTGGGAGGCTGAGGCGGGCAGATCACAAGGTCAGGAGATCGAGACCATCCTGGCTAACATGGTGAAACACCGTCTCTGCTAAAAATACAAAAAAAAATAGCCGGGCGTGGTGGCGGGTGCCTATAGTCCCACCTACTTGGGAGGCTGAGGCAGGAGAATGGTACGAACCCGGGAGGCAGAGCTTGCAGTGAGCTGAGATCGTGCCACGGCACTCCAGCCTGAGCGACAGAGCAAGACTCCATCTCAAAAAAAAAAAAAAAAAAAAAAAAAATATATATATATATATATATATATACACATACAGGCATTAAGGGACTGGAAGGGGAATCCAAGAAGGAATAATCCATCTATCCTTTCACAATATATTGCTAAAACCCAGTCACAATGCTAGCTTTAACCATAGCATTTATTCTTATTTCCAAACTTCTAAATTATAACAAAGTTCATTTTGCCAGGTCTATATTTAAAATCTATAGGTTTTAAATAATTTAAGAAAAGGTAAAAAAAAGAGTGGCAAGTGTAAAGTAGATCTATATATCAAAAGGGCATGATTCTGGAAAGCCCTAGTGCTATATAAGTGGGCTTGTTAATAATAGATATGTGTTTCGCTTGGAAACTAAGGATCAGAGGATGCTGGTAATTTATTCAAAGACACAGTTACTAGTTGGTAAAACACTGAACTTCTAGTTCAAAGGTTTTTCCAAAGAAGTGGTTTGAATCAGAGGTGCAGTCATTATTCAAATGTCATTGACTATACAAATAAAAGGGATCTTGATGATCAACTGATGTTATTTCCTTATTTTACAAATTAGGACACCTGATCACTGATACGATTTTGCCATGTCCCCACCCAAATCTCACTTTGAATTCTTTTTTTTTTTTTACCTTTTTTTCTTTTCTGTTTGTTCCCATAATCCTCATGTGTTGTGGGAGGGAACCAGTGGGAGGTGATTGAATCATGAGGGTAGTTACCCCCTTACTGTTCTCATGACAGTGAGTGAGTTCTCACGAGATCTGATGGTTTTGTAAGGGGCTTCTCCCCCTTTGCTTGGCACTTCTCTCTCCTGCTGCTATGTGAACAAGGACGTATTTACTTCCCATTCCGCCATGATTGTAAGTTTCCTGAGGCCTTCCCAGCCATATGGAACTGTGAGTCAATTAAACCTCTTTCCTTTATAAATTACCCAGTCTTGGGTATTTCTTCGTAGCAGCATGAGAACCAAGTAATACAGTCGCTGTATTAGTCTGGGTTCTCCAGAGAAAAAAAAGAATGCTTACGTTTTACTTCATTTTGATGGAAATAGTCATCCTTAACTTTTATATATCTAATTCCTCTAGCAGAGTATACTTAATATAATTTTTATATGAAGAAAATATACTGCAGCGTATGTAAAATTCCTGAAATCAAAACAGTTAAAGCCAGTTAAGGAAGGGCCTTCTAATCTAGCGGGCCTTAACCATGGCTGCACGTTGCAGTCACCTGGGGGCTGTGAAAACTACTGATGCCTGGGTCTCACCTTCAGAGGGTCTGATTTAATTGGTCTGTCATGTGGCCAGGGCATAGTGGGTTTTAAATGCTCCCCAGGTGATTGTAATGTACAGCCAAGATTGAAAACCGCTGTTCTAAATAGAAGGCCCGAAACAAAGACTAGGGATCGTCAATGTTAAAATGCAAAATATAATTAGGAGCAGCCCCTTGGAGAATGACTTCTTTTCTTAATTCAATACTTTTGATGTACACATGACTTCTATTAGTATGAGTTTTGTTAGAAATCAACCAACCCAACCACAATGAAACACCCCTATATGCAGGGAGATTGTCTTTCCAAAGGTGTAGCTGTCGGGTTGTGAGAGAGTGAGAATTTCCTCGAGGTCTGAAACTACACCTGTGTGTTTTTTCTACTTCTCTGGGCTGTGTCAGACACAAGCTTGAAAGATGTGTGAGCATACTCCCTTTTCACTGCATGAACTGAGGGGAAAAGGCACTGGGCCTCGGTGGAGAAGGAAGGAGAAGGCAGGGGGTGGCTCATCTGCTAAGGCCAAGTATTAACTGGGCGTAGATAAGAAATTAGTACATGATGAAAGAAGAATTGGAATAGGGATGGGAGAGGGTGGCTCTTGGATCAATCCAGTGGTACAAGACATCAATGATGCCAATCTCAGATTGCAAGCCAAGCTCTTGTGGAGGTCTATGTTCAAGTGGACCGTGTGAGCCTCCAGCTCTACTACCTTCTCCTTGGAAGTGGCTCGAGTTAGTTACCAGACAGGCAGGCTCCACGTTAACTGGAATCCTTAGGCATGATTTGTATCCAGTTCTGACAATGGGGGTAAATAGGACAAAGGAAAGTTTCCGGGTCCTTTAGATGGGGCAACCCTCTGAGAGGCTCAGGCCTATTTTCCTTAGGTGGAGGACAAATGCAACTAATTATACATCTGGTCACAAAACTTTTAGAGATTGAGTTATACCCTCACAGTGGTGTACATTTATGACCGTTTACTTGAGGATGTGGAGAGGGGGAGGGTGAAAGTGCTCTTCCTAATACCATGTGCATGAAAGGGCCACTGATAACTGGCATCTGCTCCCATACACATTGTTCAAGGGACTGCCTCCCTGCAAGCTCTCAAACTGGGCAGAGACATTTCATCATTCCCTGGTGATCCTAAGAAGAATAGCTCTTTGTTCTTTAACAGAGTCAGAATAAAGTAAAATGATGGAGATTCAAAACTACAATTTTGTAAGTATACATTAGCATGCATACTAATGATAAAGATAAGTTATCTTTATTTAAAATCCATTTTGCAGGCTGAGATGTTTTCCCCAATTTCCCATAAGAATTTTTATTGAAATTTGGTCTGAATGATAAAGCAGGAAAGATTTTATTTTCTCTCCAGCTGATTCTGATGGAGGTAAAACAAAATGCCTATATGTTTATACCTGACATGAACTGAGAATTCCCCTGAGAGTCATAGATGGTTTGCTAAACTTTGGTCGTCAGGAAATCCTAGAATGCCACCTTATTCCGAAATAGTTTGCTATTGATGACCACTATAATATCATAAGAGTTGGTGATAGTGAATGGTCAGTTTGTCAAGAGGTCCTGGCCAATGGAAGGGAAGCTGCTTCCCTTATTTAAGTCCCCACTGTAAGATACAGATGGAGTCTGGCACAGCTCCAGGTGTAATTACAAGACTTGATTCAGTTAGGGGCCTGAATGGAAGAGAAGGTGAAGCTTGTCTGCGGTCTGGAGTCAAAGTAGCGAATTCCCAGAAAGCTCTGATTCAATTAAGTGGGGGAGGCCTCTGCCAGTTCCTGTTCTGTTATTGCATTTTTAAGGCTCCTGTCCACAGCAGAATGCCTGCTGGCAGTTACAGTTGATAAACTAAGTAGGAGTTTCCTGCTCCAGAGGGAGTGAAGGCACTGGCAGCCACCACTGGCAGCTGGAACTCCCAAGCTACTCCACGACGCGGGAGGTTGCCTGGCAGTCAGTTTTGATGACCAGGCCTAGGAGCCACTCTCAAATCCAATTCTCCCTACTTTTGAACCGATTCAGAAGACTCGGAGACCTTGGTAAGTTTGATCTTAACGATGGCAGGACTCCTTGGGAAAATATCTTTGGCATGTAAAACACTGGCAAATAGAACAGGGAATGGTCATTTAAATGCTGGTCACATTGCACTGATATCGATTTGAAAATAAAAAGAGGATTACAGCTCTCAGGATTAGGGTAGGATTGATTAATGTAGTTCTTTCTTCAACACCAAAGACACAAATGTCCTGAAGGAAAAATTGATGCTCACTTAGAAAAATAAAGCTAATAATTCCATAGAATTATAATTCTCATAAGGAGATCATCTTTTGTGTCCCAGATGATTTAGAAGAACTGCATTCCCCGATCAGCTTCTGTTCATGGTTAATGGAAACGTTTTTTAAACTGCCACTAATGGCAACAAGGCAGCCCTAATTTAAAGAGCACTGCATTCTGGTTGATGAGCAATATCAGAGTTAGGGAAGTAAGTTTCATGTTTTCGACTCAGAGTTACCGATGAAATACTAGCTTGGAAGTGTTCCTGGTTATTAACCTTTGAAGAAAGGAAGCTCATCAACATTTTATTAAACCTATTTTCTGTAATGTGGCCATCTTATTTACTAATCATCGTTCAGCTTACGCATTTTACTGCAGGCAAATGTTGAGGCGCATTTTGTGTCTATTCTCTTCTCCATCTTAACAAGCAATCATCACTGATATTTGAGATGTTAAAGTCTACAGAGAGAAAGAAATATTGTAGTCTAAAATCTCTATTATTTTTGGAACTAGCCTCTAGATTAAAGAACAAAAGATGGTATCAATTTATAGGCTTTTTTTTGTTTTTTTGAGATGGAGTCTTACTCTGTCACCCGGGTGGGAGTGCAGTGGCATGATCTCAGCTCACTGCAACCTCGATCTCCTAGGCTCAAGCGATCCTCCCACCTCAGCCTCCCAAGTAGCTAGGACCACAGGTGTGTGCAACCACATCTGGCTAATTTTTCATATTTTTGGTAGAGATAGGGTTTCACTATGTTGCCTGGACTGGTCTTGAACTCCTAAGCTCAGGCGATCCACCTGCCTCGGCCTCCCAAAGTGCTGGGATTACAGGCACGAGCCACCACACCCAGCCTAGGCACCATTCTTGATTAAGATTCTAACTGTAGAAGTTCAGGAACCTGAATCTTGAAACATGTGGTCAGTAATTATGGGGGTAATACGGAGAGGGAACACGCATGTTGGGGCAAACTGAAGAAAGCACCCCTGAGCAGAATCATATGGGACCACTGGTATCATAAACCAATGTGTAACATTTTGAACTTTGGAACCAGACAGACTTGGGTTCAAATTTTGCTGCCACTGTATGTGTAGTGGCTGTGTGACCCTTAGTAAATTACTCAATCTCACTAATCCTCAGTTTCCCAATCCCTAAAATGGGGACAATGAAAGTGTCAACATTATAAGATAACTTTGAGGATTAAAGGATAATGTTCCTGGCAAACAGTATGTTCTCAATAAATGTGTGCAATTCTTGGGGGCTGTTATTGGATGTCAAAATGATGGGTCTGAGGAAGTAGGCATCAGGCAGAAGAATATCTATTTTTGACAAGGACTGGTTCTTATAGCCTTTGTTTCCAAGACATTTTAAGAGAGGATTCAGAAGGAACTTGCCCTAGACACATGTGGGCCTAAGTAGAATATGAGTTTTATTGACTCAAGGATAGCAGGGTGTAATTTATGGATTGAGTCAAATTTGATCACTGGTATATTCATCAGCATATCATAAAAGAAAGTCTTGCATTGGCATGACACTCTTCCACCATTTTTTTTCTCTCCTGCATTGTTGGTGCTGACTCTCCCTTGGGTTCCAGCTATTGTAATTTAGGTTTTCTCTAGGAAGATTAAGGTTGTGCTGAGAGTTGGTGGGGGGAATGAGATGAGCATTCCTGGCAGAGAGAACAGTATGAGCGAAAACACAGAGACATGATTTACGGAAGGTGAAAACCACTAAGTGGTAGAATGAGATGGATAATGTGTGTCTCAGCTGATGAAGGGTGACTGAAGAAATGAATTGTATATGTTGTATACAATGCCTTCTTTTTCCCCAGAATCCTTCTTGTTAGGTCCTTATTTTCAATTTTCTCGACATCAAGAATGATTTATTTGTGATGCTCAATTAATTTGCAATTGAATCCAATCAATTCATTGATTCAATTAATATTTATTGAGGTTTTACTGGGTAGATTGTATTATAAATACTTATGTATTGCAAAAATGAGTAAGATGATAGATAATGTTATTTAATAAAGATGATAAACCATATATACAAATGATAGTGACGGACCCAATCATATTTTTACCTTCAAACAGGGATTTTAACTAGTGGGTTTAAGTAGGATGGTTGCATTCCATTCAAAGAAGAAAGACTCGCCAGGCAGTGATGAGTATTTACAAAAATATTCAACATTATTACATGAATTTATACTCAGAAGCTAAACATTGTTATTATGTTTATCAAAAGGGAACATGGGTTAAAAATTGAGAAACTAGCATTGTTATGGGTCTGAAAGTTTGAAAACATTTTTGTTTTCAGTTTCATTGAATTTCCACAACACACATGGTACTTCCATTTCATAAATGAATAAGTCACAGCCCAAATAGGTTAAGCAAGTTTTTCAAAACACAGATAATAAATGATAGGGATAGCACTTACCCCAGAGCTTCTGATGCCAAAGTGTGGGTTCCTTTTACAAAACCCATCACACAACTTCCTAAGTGGTACACATTCATATTCATGTTTGAATTGAGAGGATGTCACAAAGATCAGGGCATCTGACAGGATAGTAGTAGAAGGTAGTCTGAGGTAGTGGAAACTGAAGCGGTGATGGGAGAACTACAAGCAGAGAGCAGGACAGGACATGAAGAAATGTACAATCAGAAATATCTGGGGAGTGATGGGAGAATGTTTTAACTTGGCTGGTGTTTGTAGAGACATAGTGAGAGATAAGAGCAGATGGGAGCTTGTGGCTCAAGTTAATCTAGGGAAGCAGGGGCAATTTTTGAAAAGAGAATCAACAATCATCATGACATTTTAAGAAGGCAAATATGTCAGTGTTGCATGGGATAGATTCCATAAGGGGGGCATTTTTAGATGACAAAATATCCCCTGAAGGTCTTAGCTAATGGTAATAGAAAAGGAGAAACATTGTGAGTATTATCCAAATGCCCACCTGGCCTTGCCCGTGGATTGCTGAGAGGCCTCTCAAACAGGATATTTCCACCAACCTCTCTCTTTCCCCTTGTCTTTCACAGTTTTGTTCCTCTACCTGTCTTCTCAATCTTAATAAGTTGTCTCATCATCGAAGTCACTCAAGCCAGGACACTGTTATCTTCAATTTCTGTTTTCCTGGCAGTGAGTCAGCAAACCCTGTTGTTTTCGTGTGTTAAATACATCTCATATCTATCCACCAATCTCCATCTTCTCTTTGACCACATTAGTCCAAACCTCCATCTTGCCTAAATTTTCCTACTGCTTCTGTTCCCCATCCAGCTATGATAGATATATCTGTATTATATATGTAATATATATTAGGATAGACGTATATAAGACAGACATATCTATATTATATATGTAATATATTCTAATATATATAAATAAATAAATATATAGAAATAAAATAACATGTTGCTCACCTGCCTAAAACAGTTTCATTATTTCCCATTTTCCTGGAAGTAAACTTCAGACTCCTCACTGTGGCCTTCAGGACCAGGAGGATGCAACCCTGAGCATCTCTTCAGCTTCCTTTCCTTTGCCCTCCTCTCTCCCAGCATTCCAGCCACTGCCTGCATTCTGGGATGCACACGGTGGGCATTTCCTACTCAGAACCTTCAGAGCTCTTCCTTCTCTTTGGAAACTGACAGCCTCATCCTCTTGCCCTCTTTGGAGAAGCCTTCCCTGATGTGTGAGTCAGGTCTGTTTCCTTTCTGTTACTGCATCATCACTCCCAGCTCTGTTTCTTTATAGCACTTGTTTTATATTATAATATTTTTTGTTAAGTAATTTACAGTTTTGTTTCAACTACCGAATTATCCATCTATGACGGCAAGAACACATCTGTTTTGTTCACTCCCTTGCACTTAGACCCAGGGCTTGGAACAGTGCATGTTCTACAGTGTATTCAAGTATATGTCGAATGACTGAATGAATGATTTGACAACTGATTGAATGTGGGAAGAAGGGATTCTATGGTTAGAATTCTATGGTTAGAATTTTTAGGAGCCTCTAGGGCTCCTAAAAATGCAGCCTTCCCAGTGTTGTGCTGGTAAACTGGGTATCATCACAGCACTCCCTCACCCCGAAAAGTCTTAATTTATAGTGATTGGGCATATTCAAGGTATAAATGACTCCACCATGGCCAATTTCAAGCTATCAATGAGATTGATGTTGCAGAACCTGACATTGGGAAGGGATGTCCACATCTGGATCTCCAGCACAGCATTTAGTTTTCTCGACTTTCAAGGTCTCTTGTGGACTAACAGTTGTGCTGCTGGTGGTTTTAGAGGAAAAAGTTTAAAAACATCCTATGAACATTTTACATATTTGTAATAAACGTTTCATTACGATTTTCATAGAATGCCATTGCATTCTTAATAATACTTTTACTCTTAAAAGCTGTGCATGAACTCTATGGATTCCACTGGTCTGTCTTATCTAACTTCCAATTTATAGGAAGTTATCTCAACCAGCATATTTTTATATTATTTGCATGGTATTATTCAGATTTGTTAAATTTGCATGTTGAGTTGTTAGTTTTGTGTTGTATCATACTCATAATTCACAAAAATGGATCAAAGGCTTGAAAGTGTTTCATTGAGGAATAAAAATAGTGAGGAAAATAGCAATGCATATATTAAAATCAAAATAATTTCATAAATGCAAATAGTAACTGGGTTTCTAGGTAAATATAAAATGTGAATCTATGTATGCTCATAAATGTTGACTTTTTGAGTGTGAAGATTTTGAACAAGCAGTCGAAAGGTCATGTGTGAATGCCCTAACAGTAGATTTTTTAAGATATAGAATCCATTTATCCCTGTTTATTGTGGCATGATGTCTGGGCTAGAATTCTTTCAAAGTGTGGCACCAATCCATACAAACTTTGAGGCGTTTTAAAAACAAAACCCCATTACCTTTTTTTGGTAAGGCAATTGCAGATATTTAGAATAACAAAAAATTAAATATTTTCAATTTTTAAAATGGACTTTTTTTTCTCCCTCAGTAGTGGTAGAGAAATGACCAGTGCTACAGAGAGATTATGGAAAGGTGAATTCCTTAAAGAAAAATGCGTGCAATTTACAAACTTGACTGACAAGATGCTTGTAAAACCAGCTATAAAAATTGATTGGTTTTCATCCAGGGAACATGGCAATCAAGCCATTGACAAAATTCCATGATCAAACATTAGAATCAGTGTTGGAGGTTGCATAGTACCAGTGGCTGACACTGGAAAATCAAGGACTGTCATGCACATGTGCTCATAGATCTACGCTTCATGTCTGACATGAAGTACCAAGTATAGATGAGGGGAGACAGCTGGATAATTTTTATTTGTTTTTTCTTTTACTGAAAATATATACAATAAAAATTTTGTTGTTTAGTTAATCATTACTTTGTGAGCTGTGCTGGAGCCTGGAAAAGGATCAGTGGCACTAGTATTTTTTTTTTTAACTTTTATTTTTGGTTCTTGGGGACATGTGGAGGTTTGTTACATAGGTAAATTTGTGGCATGGGGGTTGTACAGATTACTTCATCACCCAGGTATTAAGCCTAGTATCCATCAGTTATTTTTCCTGCTTCTCTCCCTTTTCTCACCCTTCACCCTCAGGTAGGCCCCAGTGTGTGCTTTTCCCTCTTTGTGTTCATGAGTTCTCATTTAGCTCTCACTTACAAGTGAGAACATGTGTTATCCGGTTTTCTGTTTCTGCGTTAGCTTGCTAAAGATAATGGCCTCCAGCTCCATCCATGTTCCCTCAAAAGACATGATCTCATTCTTTCTTATGGCTTCATAGTATTCCATGGTGTATATGTACCATATTTTCTTGTTCCAGTCTGTCATTGATAGGTATTTAGATTGATTGCATGTCTTTGCTATTGTTAATAGTGCTGGAATGAATATATGTGTGGATGTATCTTTATGGCAGAATTATTTCTATTCCTTTGGGTATATACTCAGTAATGGGATTGCTGGGTTGAATGGTAGTTCTGTTTTTAGCTCCTTGAGGAATCACCATACTGCTTTCCACAATGATTGAACTAATTTACACTCTCACCAACAGTGTACAAGTGTTCCTCTTTCTCTGCAAACTTGCCAGCATCTGTTATTTTTTTGACTTTTTAACAGTAGCCATTCTGAGGCCGGGCACGGTGGCCCACAGCTGGAATCCCAGCACTTTGGGAGACTGAGGCAGGTGGATCACCTGAGGTCAGGAGTTCGAGACCAGCCTGGCCAACATGCTGAAACCCTGTCTCTACTAAAAATACAAAAAATTACCCAGGTGTGGTGGTGGGCACCTGTAATCTCAGCTACTCAGGAGGCTGAGACAGGAGAATCGCTTGAACCCAGGAGGCAGAGGTTGCAGTGAGCTGAGATTGCACCATTGCACGCCAGCCTGGGCAACAAGAGTGAAACTCTGTCTCAAAACTAACAAAAAAATAAAATAATAGCCATTCTGACTAGTGTGAGATGGTATCTCATTGTGGTTTTGATTAGCATTTCTCTAATGATCAGTGACACTGAGCTTTTTTTCATATGCTTGTTGGCCACATATATATTGATATAGTTTGGCTGTGTATGCACCCAAATCTCATCCGGAATTGTAGCTCCCATAATCCCCACATATTGTGGGAGGGGCCCAGTGTGAGGTAATTGCATCATGGAGGCAGGTTTTTCCTATGCTGTTCTCATGATAGTGCATAAGTCTCACAAGAACTGATGGTTTTATAAAAGGGCAGTTCCCTGGCACATGCTCTCTTGTTGCCTGCCATGTAAGATGTGCCTTTGCTTTTCCTTCATCTTCCTCCATGATTGTGAGACCTCCTCAGCCATATCAAGATGTGAGTCTATTAAATCACTTTTTCTTTATAAATTGCCCAGTCTCAGGTATTTCTTCCAGGCAGTTTGAAAATGGACTAATATAGTAAATTTGTGCTGAGAGTGGGATACTGCTATTAAGATACCTGAAAATGTGGAAGTGATTTTGGAACTGGGTAACAGGCGAATGTTGGAACAGTTTGGAGCCCTCAGAAGAAGACAGGAAGATGTGGGAAAGTTTGGAGCTTTCTAGAGACTTGTTGAGTGGTTTTGACCAAACAGTCCAGGCTGAAGTGGTCTCAGATGGAGATGAGGAACTTATTGGGAACTGGAGTGAAGGTGATTCTAGCTACGCTTTAGCAAAGAGACTGGTGGCATTTTGCCTCTGTCCTAGAGAACTGTAGAACTTTGAACTTGAGAGAGATGATTTAGGGTATCTGGTGGGAGAAATTTCTAAGCAGTGAAAAGTTCAAGAGGAAGCAGAGCAAAAAAGTTTGAAAAATTTGCAGCCTGATGATGCAATAGAAAAGAAAAACCATTTTCTGGGGAGAAATTCAAGCTGGCAGCAGAAATTTGCATAAGTAATGAGGAGTAGAATGTTATTCACCAAGACAATGGAGAAAATGTCTCCAGGGCATGCCAGAGACCTTCATGGCAGCCCCTCCCATCACAGTGGGCCTAGGAGGGAAAAATGGTTTCCTGGGCCAGGTCCAGGGCCCCCCTGCTATGTGCAGCCTTGGGACTTTGTGTTCTGCATCCCATCCGCTTCATCTGTGGCTAAATGGGGTCAATGTACAGCTTGTACTGTGGATTCAGAGGATACAAGCCCCAGGCCTTGGCAGCTTCCATGTGGTGTTGGTCCTGTGGGTGTGCAGAAGGCAAGAATTAAAGTGTGGGAACATCTGCCTAGATTTCAGAGGATGTATGGAAATGCCTGGATGTCTAGGCAGAGGTGTGCTGCAGGGGCGGAGACCTTGTGGAGAACCTCTGCTAGGGCACTGTGGAGGGGAAATGTGGGGTGGGAGCCCCTACACAGAGTCTCAACTGGGGCACTGCCTAGTGGAGCTGTGAGACGAGGGCCACTGTCCCCCAGACCCCAGAATGGTAGATCCACTGACAGCTTGCACCATGTGCCTGGAAAAGCCACAGAAGACTCAATGACAGCCATGAAAACAGCCAGGAGTGGGCCTGTACCCTGAAAAGCCCAGTAGCAGAGCTGCCCAAGACCATGGGGACCCACCTCTAGCATCAGTATCCCCTGGATGTGAGACATGGAGTCAAAGGAGATAATTCTGGAGCTTGAAGATTTGACTGCCCTGCTGGGTTTTGGACTTGCATGGGGCCTCTAGCCCCTTCATTTTAGCCAATTTCTCCCACTTGGAGCAGGTGTATTTACCCAATGCCTGTATCCTCATTGTATATAGGAAGTAACTAACTTGCTTTTGATTTTACAGGCTCATGGTGGAAGGGACTTGCCTTGTCTCAGATAAGACTTTGGACTGTGGACTTTTGAGTTAATGCTGAAATGAGTTTAGACTTTGGGGGACTGTTGGGAAGGCATGATTGGTTTTGAAATGTGAGGACATGAAATTTGGGAGAGGCCAGGGGATGAATGATATGGTTTGGTTGTGTCCCCCCCAAATATCATCTTGAATTGTAGCTCCCACAATCCCTACATGTTATGGGAGGGACCCAGAGGAAGATAATTGAATCATGTAGGGAAAAGAAAGATCAGACTGTCACTGTGCCTATGTAGAAAGGGAAGACATAAGAGACTTCATTTTGAAAAAGACCTGTACTTTAAACAATTGCTTTGCTGAGATGTTGTTAATATGTAGCTTTGCCCCAACCACTTTGCCCCAGCCACTTTGACCCAACCTGGAGCTCACAAAAACATGTGTTCTATAAAATTAAGGTTTAAGGGATCTAGGGCTGTGCAGGACGTGCCTTGGTAACAAAATGTTTACAAGCAGTATACTTGGTAAAAGTCATTGCCATTCTCTAGTCTCAATAAACCAGGGGCACAATGCACTGTGGAAAGCCACAGGGACCTCTGCCCTTGGAAGCAGGGTATTGTCCAAGGTTTCTCCCCATGTGATAGTCTGAAATATGGCCTCGTGGGATGAGAAAGACCTGACTGTCCCCCAGCCCGACACCCGTAAAGGGTCTGTGCTGAGGTGGATTAGTAAAAGAGGAAAGCCTCTTGCAGTTGAGATGGAGGAAGGCCACCGTCTCCTGCTTGCCCCTGGGAACTGAGTATCTCGGTGTAAAACCCGATTGTACATTTGTTCTACTCTGAGATAGGAGAAAAGCTGCCCTGTGGCGGGAGGCAAGACATGTTTGCAGTAATGCTGTCTTGTTATTCTTTACTCCGCTGAGAAGTTTGGGTGGAGAGAAACATAAATCTGGACTACGTGCACGTCCAGGCATAGTACCTTCCCTTGAACTTAATTATGATATAGATTCTTTTGCTTACATGTTTTTTGTTGACCTTCTTATTATCACCCTGCTCTCCTACTACATTCCTTTTTGCTGAAATAATGAAAATAATAATCAATAAAAACTGAGGGAACTCAAAGGCTGGTGCCGGTGCAGGTCCTTGGTGTGCTGAGTGCCGGTCCCCTGGGCCCACTGTTGTTTCTCTATACTTTGTCTCTGTGTCTTATTTCTTTTCTCAGTCTCTCGTCCCACCCAACTAGAAATACCCACGGGTGTGGTGGGGCAGGTCACCCCTTCAAATCATTGGGGTGGATTTTTCCCATGCTATTCTTGTGATAGTGAATAAGTCTCCTGAGAACTGATGATTTTATAAAAGGGCAATTCCCCTGCACACCCTCTTTTTTGCCTGCCACCGTGTAAGATGTACCTTTGCTCTTCCTTCGCCTTCCACCATGATTGTGAGGCCTCCCCAGCCATGTGGAACTGTGAGTCCATGTGAGTTACAGGTGCCTGTTTTTCTTTCTAAATTACCCAGTCTTGGATATTTCTTCATAGTAGTATGAAAATAGACTAATACATATATTTTCTTTTGAAAAGTGTCTGTTCATGTCCTTTTCCCACTTTTTAATGGGGTTGTTTGTTTTTTCTCATAAATTTAAGTTTCTTATAGATGCTGTTAGACCTTTGTCAGATGCTTAGTTTATAAAATATTTTTCCCATTCTGTAGATTGTCTATTTACTCTGTTGATAGTTTCTTGTGCTGTGCAGAAGCTCTTTTGTTTAATTAGATCCCATTTGTCAATTTTTGCTTTTGTTGCAATTGCTCTTGGTGGCTTCATCATGAAACCTTTGCCCATTCCTCTGTCTAGAATGGTACTGCCTCAGTTGCTGTCCAATGTTTTTATAGTTTTGGGTTTTACATTTAAGCCTTTAATCTATCTTGAGTTGATTTTTGTAAATGGTGTAGGGAAGGGGTCCAGTTTTAATCTTCTGCATATCACTAGCCAATTATCTCAAAACAATTTATTGAATAGGGAGTCCTTTCCCCATAGCTTGTTTTTGTTAGCTTTGTCAAAGATCAGATGGTCATAGTTGTGTGGCCTTATTTCTTGGTTCTCTATTCTGTTCCATTGGTCGGTGTGTCTGTTTTGTACCAGTACAATGCTATTTGGGTTACTGTAGCCCTGTAGTATAGTTTGAAGTTTGGTAACATTATGTCTCTAGCTTTGTTCTTTTTGCTTAGGATTGTTTTGGCTATTCTGGCTTTTAAAAAAATTCATATTTTTTTTTGAGATGGAGTCTCGCTCTGTTGTCCAGGCTGGAGTGCAGTGGTGCAATCTCGGCTCACTGCAATCTCCCACTGCTGGGTTCAAGTAATTCTCCTGCCTCAGCCTCCCTAGTAGCTGGGACTACAGGCATGTGCCACCACACGAGGCTAATTTTTGTATTTTTAGTAGAGACAGGGTTACACCATGTAGGCCAGGCTGGTCTTGAACTCCTGACCTTGGGTGATCCACCCGCCTTGGCCTTCCAAAGTGCTGGGATTACAGGTGTGAGCCACTGCACCCAACCTCCACATGAATTTTAAAATAGTTTTTTCTAGTGCTGTGAAAAATGTTGCTGGTAGTTTGATAGGAATGGAATTGAATCTGTAAATTGCTTTGGGTAGTATGGCCATGTTAATGCTGTTGATTCTTCCTATCCATGAACATGGAATGTTTTTTCATTTGTTTGTGTCATCTCTGATTTCTTTGAGCAGTGTCGTGTAGTTCTTATTGTAGAGATCTTTTACCTCTGTGATAAGCTGTATTTCCTAGGTATTTTATTCTTCTTGTGGCAATTGTGAATGAGATTGTATTTGACTTGGCTCTCAGCTTGGCTGTTGTTGGTGTGTAGCAATGTTAGTGATTTTTGTACATTGATTTTGTATTCTGAAATTTTGCTGAAGTTGTTTATCAGCTGAAGGAGCTTTTGGGCTGAGACTATGGGGTTTTCTAGATATAGGATCATGTCATCTACAAACAGGGAGAGTTTGACTTCCTGTGTCCTTATTTGGATGACCTTTATTTCTTTCTCTTGCCTGATTGTTCTGGCCAGGACTTCCAACACTATGTTGAAGAAGAGTGGTGAGAGACAGCATCCTTTCCTTGCACTGGTTTTTAAGGGGAATGCTTCCAGCTTTTCCCCATTCAGTATAATGTTGGCTGTGGATTTGTAATAGATAGCTCTTATTATTTTGAGGTATGTTCCTTCAATACCTAGTTCATTGAGAGTTTTTAACATGAAGGTTTGTTGGATTTTATCAGAAGCCTTTTTTTTGCATCTGTTGGGATAATCATGTGATTTTTGTCTTTAGTTCTGTTCAGGTGGTGAATCACAGTTACTGATTTGCATATGTTGAACCAACCTTGCATCCTTGGGATTAGCCTTTTGATGTGCTGCTGGATTCAGTTTGCAAGTTTTTTTGTTGTTTTTGTTGAGGATTTTTGCATCAATGTTCATCAAGGATATTGGCCCAAAGTTTTCCTTTTTTTTGTTGTGTCTCTGCCAGGTTTTGGTATCAGGATGATGCTGGCCTCATAGGATGAGTTGGGGAGGAATCCCTCCTCCTCAATTTTTTGGAATAGTTTATGTAGGAATGCTATTAGTTCTTCTTTGTACATCTGGTAGAATTTGGCTGTGAATTCATCTGGTCCTGGGCTGTTTTTGGTTGATAGGCTATTTATTACTGATTCGATTTTGGAGCTTATTATTGATCTCTTCAGGGAATCAATTTTTTCCTGGTTCAGTCTTGGAAGGGTGTATGTTTCCAGGAATTTATCCATCTCTTTTAGGTTTTCTAGTTTGTATGCATAGAGGTGTCCATAGTAGATTCTTCCGGTTATTTTTATTTCTGTGCGGTCAGTGGTAACATCCCCTTTGTTATTTCTAATTGTGTTTGTTTGGATCATCTCTCTTTTCTTCTTTATTAGTCTAGCTAGTGGCCTGTCTATCTTATTAATTTTTTTCAAAACACAAACTCCTGGATTTGTTGATCTTCTGAATGGTTTTTCGTGTCTCAATTTTCTACAGTTCAGCTCTGATTTTGGTTATTTCTTGTCTTCTGCTCACTTTGTAGTTGGTTTGCTCTTGCTTTTCTAGTTGTTTCAGTTGTGATATTAGGTTGTTAATTTGAGATCTTTCTAACTTTTTGATGTGGATGTTTTGCACTGTGAGTTTCCATCTTAACACTGCCTTAGCTGTGTCCCAGAGATTCTCATATGTTATAGGTTTGCTCTCATTAGTTTCCAAGAACTCTTGATTTCTCCCTTAATTTCATTTTTTATTCAAAAGTCATTCAGGAGGATGTTGTTTAATTTCCATGTAATTGATGGTTTTGAGCAATTTTTTTAGTCCTGTTCTATTTTTATTTTGCTGTGGTCTGAGAATGTGTTTGGTATGATTTTGGTTCTTTTGCATTTGCTGAGGATTGTTTTATATTTGATTACGTGGTCAGTGTGCTATGTGGTGATGAGAAGAATGTATATTCTGTTGTTTTTGGGTGGAAAGTTCTGTAGAGCTCTATCAGATCCATTTGGTCCAATGTTGAGTTCAGCCTCTAAATACCTTTGTTAACTTTCTGTCTTGATGTTCTGTCTGATACTGTCAATGGAGTTTTGAGGTTTCCCACTATTATTATGTGTGAGTCTATGTCTCTTTAAAGGTCTCTAAGAACTTGTTTTATGAATCTGGGTGCTCCTATGTTGGGTGCATATATATTGGTGATGGGATCTGCTTTTTATGATTTCCGTTTGCTTGGTAGATTTTTTCTCCATCTCTTTATTTTGAGCCTATGGGTGTCATTATGTGTGAGATCGGTTTCTTGAAGACAGGATACCATTGGGTCTTGCTTTTTTATTCAGCTTGCCACTCTGTGCCTTTTAAGTGGGGGCATTTAGCCCATTTACATTCAAGGTTTGTATTGATATGAGTGGTTTTGATCCTGTCCTTGTGTTTTTAGCTGGTTATTATGTTGCTTTATAGTGTGACTGGTCTGTGTATTTAAGTGTGTTCTTGTATTTGCTGGTAATGGTCTTTCCTTTCTATATTTAGTTCTCCTTTAAAGATCTTTTGTAAGCAGATCTGGTGGTAACAAACTCCCTCAAAATTTGCTTATCTGAAAAGGATTTCTTCTTCACGTAGGAAGCTTAGTTTGGCTGGCTATTCTTGGTTATTTTTTTTTTCTTTAAGAATGTTGACTATAGGCCCCTAGTTTCTTCTGGCTTGTAGGGTTTCAGCTGGGGGGTGGACTGCTAGCCTGATGGTGTTCCCTTTGTAGGCAATCTGCCCTTTTTCTCTAGCTGCCTCTACCATTCTTTCATTTCAACCTTGGAAAGTCTGATGATTACGTGTTTTAAGGATGATCTTCTTGAGTAGAATCTTGCAGGAGTTCTCTATTTCCTGAATTTGACTGTTGGCCTCTCCAGCGAGACTGGGGAAGTTTTCATAGATGATATCCTGAAATATGTTTTCCAAGTTGTTTGCTTTCTCCCCTTCCTTTTCAGGGACACCAGTGGTTGGTAGATTTGCCTTCTTTATATAATTCCATATTTTTCAGAGGTTTTGTTCATTCCTTTTCATTCTAATTTCTTTATTTTCATTTGACTGTCTTATTTCAGAGAGGCAGTCTTTAATTTCTTAGATTCCTTCCTCAGCATGGTCTATTCCACTACTGATATTTGCAATTGCATTGTGAAATTCTTGTAGTGTTTTTCAGTTTTGTGAGATCCATTAGGATCTGGCTATGCCATTTTTCAGCTTCTGTATCATTTTATTGTGATATTTAGTTTCCTTGGATTGGGTTTTACTATTCTGAATCTTGAGGATCTTTGTTCCTATCCATATTCTGAATTATATTTCTGTCTTTTCAGCCAACTGAACTTGGTTAAGAACTCTTGTTGGGGCCGGGCGCAGTGGCTCATGCCTGTAATCCTAGCACTTCGGGAGGCTGAGGTGGGCAGATCACAAGGTCAAAAGATTGAGACCATCCTGGCCAACAGGGTGAAACCCCGTCTCTACTAAAAATACAAAAGTTAGCTGCGTGTAGTGGTGCGTGCCTGTAGTCCCGGCTACTTGGGAGGCTGAGGCAGGTGAATGGCTTGAACCTGGGAGGCAGAGGTTGTAGTGAGCCAAGATCACACCACTGCACTCCAGCCTGGTGACACAGCGAGACTCCGTCTTAAAAAAAGAAAAGGAAAGAAAAAAAGAACTCTTGTTGGAGAACTACTGCATTACCTGAGTTCTTGCATTGGTTCTTTCTCATCTCTGCATGTGGGTGTTCCTTTAACTGCAGTGTATATTGAGTACAGTCAATAGACTTCTTTTCTGGATGTTTTCACAGGGATGAGGCTTTTTGTGCAGCATCTTTATTTGTAGCTGACTGCTTGTCTTTGGTTTCACAGTAGGGTATGTTAGTGAGGTATTTTGGGGGTTGAAGCTTTGGAGTGTGATTCAGTAGGTGGTGCTTAGGCATATCGGTCAGTTGTTAGGCTGTTGCTCAGTTGTGTGGCTTCCCTATATTTCCTTACTGTTGCAGCCACACTCCCTCTCAGTGCTCTGAAATTTTGGCTCTTCTCTCACTTGAGTGCTGGCTGTAGATTGCAGCTTGGCACTCCTGAGCTACCCACCACAGCTCTGGGGTGATCTCAGGGTTTATGTTCCCTCCCCAACTTGGAGGCAGCAGAGGAAGGGACATTAGTAGTGGTTGTGTCCAAGGGTCTTTTGCTTGTCTCCTGGGGACTCCACCCCAGAGAAATGCAGGTCGTCAATCACTCAGTGCAATCAGTCCAGGATGGAGAGTCTGTGCTGTGGGCCCAAGCCAGGGGTTCCCTGCATGGGGACTAGTATTTTTAAGATGGCTGAAATATGTTCAATGAACAAGGGCTTTTATATAAAAATAAAGTGATTCCACCAATAGTCAGTGTTTATTCAAAGAGAAAGGTTCATAGTCAACAACATGACTCTGGTTGTTAAAGGAAATAGTGAAAATTGCGGAGAAGATAAAATCTTAGACATAAGGTGTTTTTTATTTACAGTATTTTGAGTGAGGGAGTGGGCTATGAAACTGCATTTAAAAACACCAAAATACATTGCTAATAGAAAAGCTGTTTGCATAAATTTACACGGAGGTAAAATCACTTCTTCATGTTGTTGATAAAACCGGTAAAGATGATTTTGTGATATGTGGTGGTTTGGGAATATATTACTATTTGGCCTAGCCTGAACCTGTCACCTACAACTGAATGATTACAGTTTTCACCATTGAGGTTGTAATATTAGGAATTATTAGAGACCAAACTTGGGCACACTGGGAGCTTAACTCTTTTCCATACTTGATGATTTTCTTCACTACTCAGAAAATGAAATCAATGAGATGTTACTGGGAATATTTATAAACCACATCCTAATGCTGCCACAGATAATGAAAGAATACTTCGCAGAGTCAAGTCAATCCAAGAGAGGATGAGGAATTTATTTTCCATGATTTCCTAAATTTACATAACTCAAACTTCCAGCTTTTGAATCTGAGAGGCCTTCCATTTAGCATCTCTCCAATCCTGTAAGTGATTTTTCATAGCAATTTCTGTACAACTTCTGCATCCATGATCATGATTAAGCTGAATGTATAGAACTAGCTGAGAGTCACCAGTCACTGACTCCCAAGAGGACCATGAATTTGTATCAGAAGGTTCTATTTACCAAATGTAGAGTAACTAGCTGTCCTGTGAATCGGGCAGTCTACTGGACTGGATTTCATGCTTTTCAATGGCAGGAAAGAGAGATTATTTCACAATTAATGTTAGTCTTAAATATTGTTATAACTTTTCTTAAGATTGTACTAAACATGGCAGTCCCTATATGCACCAAAAACCCATTAACAGTGTGCAGATGTCTGAAGTGTGAGAAGCACCGTTCACAACTGTTATTTCCAAATGGTGAGTATGACAGCAGGAAAACTATGGTTTATATTACACTTTAAGCATTTCTGTTTTGTATTTGATTTGTAATGTGCACAGTATTGAGTACAGTGATAAGTCTATACGCTTATGTGAATATACATAGAATGCAAGTACATGCTTAAAAGTTTTTTTATGGTAGGGACCCATAATCAAAAAGTTTGAACACTTATAGGGTTTGCAGGTGTGTCCCCACCTGAATTTCATATTGAAATGTTATCCCCAAGGCTGGAGGTGGGGCCTGGTGGGAAATGATTAGATCTTGGGGGTGGATTTCACATAAATGGTTTAGTACCATCCCCTTTGTGCTGTCCTCGTGGCAGGTGAATTCTCCTGAGATCTGGGTGTTTAAAAGTGTGTGGCACCTCACACTCTCTGTTGCTCTTGCTCCTGCTCCTGCCATATGAGAGGTCTGCTCCTCTTTCGCCTTCTGCCATGACTATAAGCATCCTGAGGCCTCCCCAGAATCTGAGCAGACGTCGACACCATGTTCAATCGTGTCCTCTACAACCTGCAGAACTGTGAGCCAATTAAACCTCTTTTCTTTATAAATGACCAGTCTCAGGTATTTCTTTATGGCAATGCAACAATGGCCTAATACAAAGACTGTTGATAAACTCATCTGAAATAATTTGTGTACACTCCTATGTTGTCAGCACGGTTTGCTTCTTTTAAATCATTGAAAAGTGGTGCTCAAACCTCATCAGTTTTTCAGCCCATCTAACTTTGAGTTTTACCTGGATAGAGACACCTTTAGGAAAGACTCATGCGCTGCTGGTCACAGGTATCCACAGGTGACCAGTGCAGCTGTTCCACACCCCAGCAGTGGCCTCACGGGCTTTCAGGGGCTTCTCTGTAAGCTGTGCTGGAGAAACACTCTCATTCTCAGGAGGATCCTGGGCGTTTGCTGAGTGTAGTGATCTACCTAGGAGCAATCGAGGATGTCTGACCCAGAGTCATTGTACTGCCTTTCAAGACCCCTGATCTGGTTGGCACCTCTGCTGAGAAGGCTCCACTCCCAAGGGAGTAGGGGCAGGGAGGGGCGGGCAGCCTTGCCTAGAGTCTAGGATCCAGTTCTCATTCTCCAGTCACCACGAGCCCCTGCCTGGGGAGCCAAGTGCTCATCTTCTCAGTCCGAACATCTTTGCACCCTCTTTGCTGTGTCTGACAAGTTAGAAGCTAGACAGAGGGACTTTATTGTTAACTGCACATATGCAATTCACATTGCAGATGAAACTGCTGGAAATGTTTATTTTTAAATATAGTTTTGTTTTTAAATAGAGACAGGGTCTCAGCATGTTGCCCAGGGTTTTTTCCAGCTCCTAGCCTCAAGCCATCCTCCCATCTCAGCCTCCCAAAATGCAGTTTTTCAAATTTATTTTTGAAACAGTAATATAACGATATGGCCAAAAATGAACAAGAAGTGCCAGAGTATATTCTATACAGTGCAACTCAGTCTCCTCCCAGCCATATTTCCCAGAGGTCCTTCTACACTTTTCCAGAGTGAAGCTGTTGATAAACAAACACATATATGTTCTTTGTAAACCCAAGATGAGAGTGTATGATCATCTTCATTCTGCACATTTTTCCAATAAACAATGTCTCAGCAATCTTTCTGAATTAGTATATATAATCCTACTCTCACTTTAAATGTTGGTACACTGTAAATATTGGTGTACTATTATTTCTTTCTTTCTCTCTCTCTCTTTCTTTCTTTCTTTTTTTTTTTTTTTGAGAGACACGGTCTTGCTGTGTCGCCCAGGCTAGAGTGCAGTGGCACAATCTCAGCTCACTGCAATCTCTGCCTCCCAGGTTCAAGCAATTCTCCTGCCTGAGCCTCCCAAGTAGCTGGGATTACAGGCTCATACCATCATGCCTGGCTAATTTTTGTATTTTTAGTAGAGACAGGGTTTTGCCATGTTAGCCAGGCTGGTCTCGAACTCCTGACCTCAAGTGATCCACCTACCTTGGCCTCCCAAAGTGCTGGGATTACAGACATGAGCCACCGCGTCCAGCCCATGATTTCTTTATTCAGCCTGCACTCATGGACATTTAGGTTGTTCCCAGATATTTTTTTTTTTTGCTATTAAAAATGAGAATGCTATGAATTTCCTTGTATCAATGGGAATAGATGTGTAGGGAAAATGCCTAGACATGGCTGGGCGTGTGTGTAAGGTGCATTATGATAGATATTGCCAAACTGTTCTGTGTGAAAGTTGTAGAATCAAGTTTTCTTGCCAACAGCATATTAGAGGGGTCATTTGCTTTAATACACAAAGTTTATAAAATATTTTTAGTTTTACCTATTTGATAGTTGTTAGATTAATTAGGTATAATAGTTGCATTTTATTATTAGTGAGGTTGACTATATTGACACGTGCTTAGACACAATCTCCTTCCTTTCTTGAAAATTGCTCACGTGTGTCGTATTAGGTTGTTAGCATTAACTTTCTTACTGGTTTGTATAAATACTTTTTAAATAGTAAGGACTGTAGCCTTTCCATATGTGTTGCAGATACTTTTCCCAGTTTGTTACTTGTATTTTGACATTTAGGTAATGCTGTTTTGCAGAGTAAAGGCTTGTTATTTATTGTAGTCAAATTGCACAATTTTATCTTTATAATTACTAGGTTTTGTTTATCACCTGAAAGGCTTCCTGGTATATTGCTTAAATATTCATTGACAAAGATTTAGTTAAGCTTTCTGTCTTCCCAGTGCTCTTACAGCACCTGGAAAGATGTGAATTTCAAGGATTTATTAAAATGACTGCTTTTGTTTTACTCCGGATAAAACCGAATCAGTTTGAACCCTACAGAGGAGCCCAGAATGATTTCTCTTTGTCTCAGAGGCCTGCCTTTCTCTCTCTGTCTCAGAGGTTTGCCTCCACCTCCCCTGAACCTTGGCCCAGAAGTTTGCCTTCTCTCTCTTCCTTCCCCCTTCTTAGTGGCCTCTGAACCCAAGAATCTGTCCTGGAAGCCAAATGGAAATTCTACACAGAAGCCCGTCTAAGTCTTAGCAGCAATGTTGTACTCGTTTTCTTCTTTAAAATTAATGAATACACAGCCAGAGGTTTATTATGCCACACACATTGTGTTCACCACTCTTCATGATTAAAAGTCTCACTTCTGGGGTCCAGGACAACTTCCTAAATTCATCACCGGGAACTGCATTGCAACATTGCTGATTCTGGCCCTATGATTAATTCTACAGCTTTTGAAGAAACCCAAACTGGACAGACAGTTACTGAATTTTTGTAATGTCCGAGGCTTCCAGGAGGAGTGACACATATCTCTGCTGGATGAGCTCACAGTTCCAATGAGAAGATACAAGCTGAAAGATTGCAGCAGAACTGGGAAGTGAAAGCACGGAGAGGCTGTGGGACATGGAGGAGGGGCGGTAAGATTGAGAAAGAGGTAACAGTTGGGGTGACTTTGGACCTGAGACCTGGGCAGGCATAAGAAGTCTCACTCTCTATTCCATTCTTGGCAGGGGATGTTTCTTTGTACCAGGTAGCTTTGCGCTTGTTTTGTTCCATAAAAGTAAATCTCTGTTCACTAAGGAATTATGGTAGTGAATGGTGACTCTCCGGAATTATAGGGCTAATTCCAAAATAATCTTAGTTTTATTCCCCCACATTGTAATATTAACACTTGGGAATTTTGTTTATCGCGATGTTTAATAATTTGGCCAGCAGAGGGCACTGCATACTGACAGTCTCTCCACACCAGTCGCTCAAATCCTCAAGAGTTCCCGAAGTGTTAGGCTTAACTCAGGGGTGTTTGCAAGTGCTTTGCTCTTCTGTTTCAGACATAAACATATGTCAGAAATTAAAAGAGGGTTGTGAAGCAGGAAATTAGATTAACAGTAGCATATAATTTCCCTCTATTTGTTAATAAAGAGAAAAAATATTGGTATGTACACCCATGTCTACAGGGTTTTAAATGTAGCTGTATTAATTAATGTATTAATAATATGATAACACTACTTCTTGCATAAATCAACATAACTTCTAAATTCTCTTTGAAAATATTTTTGGTTTTATATTGTGGTTTAATTCTCAATCATAAACTAAAAAGTAAAAAAACCTGATGCCTAATGTTATACTTTCTTTCAAACCTTAAGATAGATATTATTGTTTGAATAGTATCAAAATATTGTGGTTCTGCACAAATGCTTTTTATAACTTCTTACGATGATATTTTAATTTCTATTTCCACATATGGATATGAGTATTCGAAAACATTTGACGCACAATTTTCTTCTCTTCATCTCCCCATTATAAAAATGTAAAGGTGTGTTTTAAAACCCGTTTGCTCTTGGTTAAACTTGACAATGTGGAGACCCCTTTGTTAGCTGGTCCTATGAGTTAATGCACAGCCTTTGTGTTTTTCATTTAAGGAATAAACTAAACTGGTACCATCCAATGCTACTGACTTGATTTGCCATAGCCCATCTCTATGATGTAAATATGGATTCCCTGGCATTTGCAGAGTTAAGACAGTCTCCTGGGATCAAAGCCTGCATCACATAAATACAGGAGAAAAGCTACTAAAAATTTCTTACAGTAGGAAAACACTCAAGAAGGTTTTTATATTAAAAATCCCTTATCCCAAAAACTGTAGGCTGTGTTCTGATGATGTATTACTAATTTATCAGATATATTTAATGACAGTTTGTAACATGTTCCTACTAAGTGAAGGAACGGTGCTCTGATAAGCACTGGGCAGAATTGAAGAAGTATGACATTCTCTGATCACTTAATCCATGCTCAATTTGACTAGCAATTTTATTTAGGTTTATTGCTTGCTATATAATATACTTAGTTGTATAAGTAAGATACAGATTAATAGTATTTAAATATTACTTTGGAAGCTTTTAAGGGAAATAATTCTAATTCTGAATAATACTAAATAGCTCTGCAGCATGTTGGGATTTAAATATAGATTCAGTCACTACTGTAGATTAAGTCATGATTTGTCTTTTAAAATTGGAAAGCGAGTTAACTTTTGCCCATTGGTTCTCTTTGCAGTGAGTGACCGCCTGGGTACCTGTGGGCATCTGCATTCCACATTGTGTCTGCAGTGCCCTCTTGTGGCCATGCATCTTTATGCAGATAGAGTCTTCCTCTACTACTATCTTTTGGGGCTTCTTCCATTTCGCTTTGCATTGGTGAGGCTACTGGAATAGGACTTACTTGAGCCCGGTTCATTATCTACAAGTAGGATATTGGTACCAGACAGCACTAGGAAGACTAATACAATCTTGGAGGAGGTACTTCATAGCTTGATGTTCTAAAGATTAGCTTTAAGTCATTACATTTTTGGTCATTTATTTAAAGTGATTATTCCTCATAAAATATGGTTATTATCAAAGAGCCTTTCTCCATTTGTCCCAGATCAACAATGACTGGTAAGAGGTTCAGTACAGAAGAGTCATCATATACAGTCCTAACCACCTCTGGCCTGATCTATTTTACACTGGGGCATGACTGGCATTGACTCCAGTCTTCCACGGCCTAAATAAGATTAGTACTCTGAACACAGTAAGAACTTTGTGATTCCACCTCAGTTCCACCCAAGGCAAGGGGAATACTTCCCCCATTTCACAGACGTTTATATGGTGTCTTTTAGGGAAGAGGCAAAACACAGATTGTTATGGTTAAGACCTGAGTTCTGTAGTCAAACCTAGGCCAGCCCATAGCAAACTTTGTGAATCCAGGCAAAGAATTCAACTTTACTGCCTTCATTTTATCATCTGCATACTGGGGAGAGTAACAGGTTGCTCTGAAGATTAAGTGCCAACAGGCCTGTGAAACATTGAACAGTCATTATTAGTTACTGGTGCTAAAATGCAATTGGTGCTAAAATGGGACTTTTCTATACATTTTTTGATTTTAAATTAATAGACTTTAGTTTTTAGAACCATTTTAGGTTTACAGAAACATTGAACAAATAGTACAGAGATTTGTCATCTATTCTTCCTTGTACAGTTTCTTCTATTAACATCTTCCACTAATATGAGACATTTGTTATAATTCATGAACAAATATTAATACATGGTTATTAACTAAAGTCCATAGTTTACTCTGGGTGTTGTATACTCTGTGGGTTTTGATGTGACTAATGACATATATCCACCACTGTAATATTATACAGAATATTTTCATTGCCCTAAAAATCCTCTGTGTTCTGCCTGTTCATCCCTGCCTCTCTGCTGCTCCTGGCAGCCCCTGATCCTTTTACTCTCTGGATAGTTTTGCCTTTTCCCGAATATTGTACAGTTGGAGTCATGCAGGATAAAGGCCTTTCTGGCTGCCTCCCTTCATTTAGAAATTTGCATTTAAGTTTCCTCCATGTCTTTTCGTGGGTTGATAGCTAATTTCTTGTTATTTTTGAATAATATTTCATTGTCTGGCTGTACCACAGTCTGTCCACTCACCTTTATTCCTATAGTATTTTAACTGCTTCCTTTCCTGTGGCGCCCACTACTGTGAGCCAATGGAGGAAGAATGCTGCAGTACATCCAGTACTATAGCCTTAGAATCTGGGACAATACTCGTTAAATAATAGCTCTTCAATAAGTATTTGTCTAAGTAAGAGAAGTTGAAAGAAAGAACTTTTGAATTGGCCACAGTAGCATTTATTTTGGTAGTGGTGCTAAGGGACAGGGCTTCCAAAGGGCTGTCAAAAGTGAATCCAGTTATTAGTCTGCTTTCTTCTTGGAACCTGAAGGGCTTGGTGATCCTGGGAGCACACTCCCTGCTGCGGAGCCTACGGTGCAGCAACACACTTCCCAGGGAGCTGCACTGGGCCACGGACACGCGTCAGTGGGCATGCCAGCTGGACGTGTATTTCCAGCCGTTCTAGCAACTTCTGCTGTCAGGAGGGACCCCTGTGTTCCTCGGAAGATGGCTCAGTGGTGACTGTCATATCTCTGCCTAGAGAAGAGTTAGTGTGGTCGGGGGATGTGGAGAAGAACTGGCATAGGATGTGATCAGTCATAGTTCCCTGGGGATCCTTATAAATCCATCTGTAAACCATCGAGTGTTTATGGATAAAATCATGGCAGTAAAGTATTTATTATTTAATGACTGCTGCAGGGGAAGTTTTAGAATTTTCACTGGCAAGGTAAGGGAGTATAATTTGTGTTGTAGGTGGTGGTGAAGGTTACTCCTAAAATCAACATTATAAGCTTAAAAAAAAAGAGAAAGGAAGAATAGTGTTTGGTATAAAAGTGACCTGAAAGAAAACTGTCTGAAAGGTTTTTGTTAACAGAGGAAAAATGTTTCTTCCATGGACTCATGTGTTCAGAGAAATTGTTCAATTCAAGGAGAGAAAAAGATTCAATATACAATTATTCTTACTCAATTGTTTTTTTTTTTTTTAAGAGACATGGTCTCACTTTGTTGCCCAGGCTGGAGTGCGGTGTCATGATCATAGCTCACTGTGGCCTTGAACTCTTGGGCTCAACTGATCCTCCTCCCTCAGCCTCCTGAGTAGCTGGGACCAAGGCATGTGCTACCATGCATGGCTAATTTTTTTCTTTTAATTTTTTTGTTTTTAGAGATGGGGTTTTGCTTTGTTGCCCAAGCTGCTCTTGAATTCCTGGGCTCAAGAGATCCTCCCACTTTGGCCTCCCAAAGTGCTGGAATTACAGGCGTGAGCCACCTCACCAGGCCAATTTGTTGTAAATTGAAAAACAGAGGATCAGAGATCCATTCTGTGGCAGGGCATCATAAGGAGAGGCCTGCCCTTGAAAGACCTGTCCCAGCAGCTCAGAGTTCATGTGGGGAGGGCTCAAGGCAATTTTCAATCAATCAGTTATGAACTGGGTTGTTTTAGGCACCTCCTCCTATTCACCCTGGTGGTGATAGAGGGTTTCCCACCCTAGGGTTGTAGAGATGGCCAAACCCACGGCACCTGACACCGGACAGGTGTCCAGCAGGGGATGGGGGAGGTAGGCTTTGTAGTAACAAGAGGAGGAGGATGTGATTGGATGGGGGAGGTAGGCTTTGTAGTAACAAGAGGAGGAGGATGTGATTGGCTTGTTTGGATAACTCCATGGGTTGGCAGGAAACTGAAGCCCGCTACTCAGGGATATATGTGGTCCCATGATAAGGAGTGTCCTTTAGCTAGGGTATTTTTCCCACAGGAGGGAGGGAACTTGAGGTAAGGCCATTGAAGGCCCTCCTGGTTTCCCAGATGTCAAGACAGCATACAAAACTGCATCTTAATTTTAGGCCTTACACCCATGTGTGGGTTAGGGATGTCAAAGGGAGAGTAGCATGTGGAGGCTAATAAATTAAAAATAATTAAATGAGCCAGACGTGGTGGCTCACACCTGTTATCCCAGCACTTTGGGAGGCCGAGGCAGGCGGATCACGAGGTCAGGAGATCGAGACCATCCTGGCTAACACAGTGAAACCCTGTTTCTACTAAAAATACAAAAAATTAGCCGGGCATGGTGGCAGGCGCCTGTAGTCCCAGCCACTTGGGAGGCTGAGGCAGGACAATGGCATGAACCTGGGAGGCGGAGCTTGCAGTGAGCTGATATCACACCACTGCACTCCAGCCTGGGCAACAGAGCGAGACTCTAAAAAATAAATAAATAAATAAATGGCTAGCCAAAGTAACCAGATTCCTTTTTTTCCTCCTTATAAGAGGCAGCCTACATTTAAGGAACAGTTCCACTGTGCTCTCTGAGTCACTTTCTTTGAACTTCATCATGGAGTATTCATAAGAGGCACACAGCTCACCCACCAGGGCAAATGAAGGGAAAAGTTCCAAAGAGGTGCTTCATGCCCCATAGCAGGTAATTTCTGAGCAGTGAATGTTTAGCGTCCCAGACATGAAATTTTAAATTTGGTTTTATACAAGGGTCCCAGGTACCTTCATACACCCACATATTTTTTAGCAAGCTTGTGCATGTGGGCCACAAAGCACAGAATGATTTCTTTCTGCAGACTAGATATGGAGTTTTTATTTATTTTTAATAATTTATTTTATCCTCTGGTGGGATTTTGTATATACTAGTGGATATTCTCCAAAGGCACATACACACAGAGGACATATTTACATGATAATTGCTCAGGTAGACAGGTGTGATGCTTGTACTCATTGAATATGGTGTGACTAATTTATTCCATCATGTCAAAGATCACTGTTGATACGAAGTTCTATTTATTGTCTTTGAGTGTGTTTTATACTATGCTGGGTTATCTGATTTTTATTTTTATTCCTGGGCATTGCTCTATTTTCTTCCAAGGGCCCACCAAATGAGATAGAGGTAAATGTCTAGGTCTGTATTCTCAGATTTTGCTACAGAAAATTATGTATTTTCTAGATTTTCTTTCCAGAGACCCTTAAGACCAAAACTGTGGTTTCTAATTGCACCACTTGTTCTTAATGTTTGGCCACTCATTTACTCCCATAAGGGTTTCCCTCTTCACTGAGAATAAATAGCCAAACCCCTGATTTGTCTCTTTCTTGCAAAGGTGGGTTAGAGTGGGGTGGTCCAGTACACGACTCTAGGAGTGAAGGAGCTGGCCTCACTCTTAAAATTGCAAGTGCTTTTTCCTATTTCCACTCAGTGGCTATGAGATCTGCAGCTCTCAGCCCCTGCCTGTGTGGCACCATCGTGACTCTGCCGAGCGTTCCCATCCAGTGTGGGGAAGGCAAGATTTAGGCCAGTTGTTAAAATCCTGATGAGAGTTAATGCATGCCGAACAGGGATTTACATTCTAGCTTGAGAGTCATTAAAAATGAATGCTATGCTGAGCTATTTTATCTTGGCTTTTGGATTTGGAAAAGCCTCTAATAAAAGCCTCTAAGAAAGACTATGAATAACTTGAAAGTCCCTTCATATTCATAATAGATATTTTGCAGCAAAGAATTTCCAATGTCCAGTTATAATCAGTGACCAATAGTCAGCCACCAGGGTGGGAATTATTACTCTCTGTGACTTCTCAGGCATCTGCTTAACCTGGGTAGGCAGAAAATGAGAATGTTTTATGTCAGTAAATTAAATCTGTTGCAGACAGATCAGCCATTTATGGTAGATGACAAGCCTTAGTCATCGTTTACTGTCAATAATAATATTGTAAGTATGTAGTGGGGATGGTGGGGGCTGTGATGTGTGTCAGTATCTCTATAATAGACTTCTCTCTAAGATGCAAGTATCCAGAGATACGTTTGGCAGATAATAGGTTCAGTTTTATGAGCTTTATTGTTATCTTGGTGATGTGCTGATACCTAAAATCTCAGCATAGGCATAGCTGCAGCAACTGGAACTGCCTGGGGTTATAGATTGCTAAATGTAATTATTCAAGCACAGTTGTGTTGACAGGTGACTTCAGAAATATAGAGATTCTAATCATGGCTCTGCAAAGTTTGGTGGAGATTGCTCCTTGAATAAATAAAATATAAAATTTATACTGATATCGTGTAAATGAGCTTCTAAGAAAGAGCCCTATTAATGAGAAGAAAGCACATTGCATTAGAGGTCAGATGTACTACTTTTAAAATATCTGAGACAGAAGAAGAAGAATTTTGCAAGCATTCATGGAGAGCATTTTTTGGATGTCACTTTAGGTTACTGGTGAGCACTGAAATAATTGAAATCCATTTCTGACTTCACAGATTGAATGAAATTACTTAAACAACACACATGTAGACAAAAAAAAGCCTCTGATTGAATATAAGCCCTATGTAAACAAAGAATGTTAGTTTAGGAGACTAGAAATTCATGTAAAAATATTCTTTTTAATCCTTGGGCTCATTAAAGGGAGCTAAATTGTGCCAGATTAACTGAATCCGGTATTTGGGGTATCCAGGCCATCTAAATCTCTCCCTCTACTCAATTGGGGCTTCCGCCTGCTAAGGAGGGGGAGTAGGGACTCAAAATATATCCAATATATTAAATAAAATATTCATTATAATTTATATAACTTGAAATTTAGTGCTCTTCCAACAGAGTTGCTAGATTTAGCAAGTAAAATTACAGGATGCCCATTAAAATTGAATTTCAAATCAACAAAGAATATTTCTTTTCACTTTTAATAAAGTTTATTTTTTAGAGCAGTTTTGGGTTCCCTGTAAAACTGAGCAGAAAATACAGAAGAGTTCCTATATAACTCCTGACCACCCTCCTCCCTCATATCTGCATCCCCCACCAGCAGAGTGGTACATGTGTTATAATTCATGAAACTATATTGACACATCATTATCACCCAAAGTCCACAGGTTACATTACAATTCACTCTTGGTGTTGTACTTTTGGTGTTGTATGGGTTTTGAGAAATGTATAATGATATGTGTCCACCATTATAGTATCATACAGAGTATTTTCACAGTCATAATGATCTGTGAATCTCTGCTTATTCATCCCCCTCTCCCTTAAACTCCTGGCAACCACTGATCTTCTTACTGCCTCCATAGTTTTTCCTTTCCCAGAATGTTGTAAAGTTGGAATTGTACAGTATGCAGTCTTTTCAGATTGGTTACTTTCACTTAGTAATGTGCCTTTAAGTTTCTTTCATATCTTTCCATGTCTTCATAGCCCATTTCTTTTTAGCCCTGAATCCTATTAATATTCCATTGTCTAGATGTACCACAGTTGACTTACTCATTCACCTGGTGAAGGACATCTTGCTTGCTTCCAAGTTTTGGAATTAAGAATAGAGCTGCTATAAACATCTGTGTGCAGATTTTGGTGTGGACGTAAGCTTTAAATTCATTTGGGCAAATGCCTAGGCGTTTGAATGCTGGATTATATGGTAAGAGTGTGTTTCCCTTTGTAGGAATATTTTTTTTCAGTTTAAGTATGTCCGTAGTGTTGCATGACATCCCTCCCTGCCAAAGATGGAGTGGCTTCCTGCAGTGCAGTGCGTGCAGAAGTCACAACATTTCTAGTCATGGTTGTGACCAATAGGGTAAACTTTTACATTTCTATCTGCCCCTCCAGTTGGGGTAACTCACCCCTACCCACTGGCTGGATACCTTGGCAGCCAATGGGGCTAGAAGGAGCCAGAGACCCCAATCGAGGATGGCTGGGCCAAGACACATTCTTGATCCTGGTTGTGCCAGCCACCCTTAAAATCCCTACTGGACTTGGTGCTGTGGGCTTAGAGGTGCCCTAAGTTCCAGAACTGCCTCTGGGCTTCTTGCCTTTTCTCTCATTCTCCTTCTGTACCATGCTGCTTTCTGGTGCCCAGGCGTTGTTCCTGCTGCTGCTGACTTTGTTCCCCTGAGCTGCTGGGTTCCGATGATACCAAAGATTCCTCAAGGTGGGCTGAAGCCTTCAGGATTGAGGCCCACGGTCTGGAAGGCATGAGCCCTTCTCCGTGGAGCTGTTTGAGGTCAGAAGGAAAAGCAGCCCCTCCTGTGTCAGGGCGATGGCAGTGCCGGGTGTTGCACAGGCTGGGTTCGGCATGACCACTTCCGCTTCCCTGCCAAGATCGCTGTCGCTCAGCCAGTTCTTGAGGCGAGGCTCCAAAGCGGTGGCGTCAAAGCTGGCTGCTCAGTGGAGGCCCCTAGGGAGCTGTGAACGCCCCCGTGGGCAGGCCTCATCAGGCTCAGTAAGTCAGGAGGCTCAAGGTCGCCGCAGGCAGGGGTATTCTGAGTCTCTGAGGGCGGAACCCCTGGTCTCCGGGGAGCTGCCGCTGGGCCCCAGCTGGGGGCACCATGGAAGGCATTTCCGCCCCGGGCACTTTGCCTAGCCGGCTGTCCCCGAAGCCACAGCCTTCTCACTTCCGGGAGTCGAGGCCCTAGGCTGACCTCAGGTGCTAGGGTGCGTCCCTGGCCGCCGTGGGGCCCATTACCTGACGCGGAGCAGCCGTGGGCGCCGTGCGTGCCGGTTCCCTGCGTGCCTGGACCCAGAATGGACCAGGCTGGAGTGCGACGGTGATTTGAGGCAGTCACTGATTATTTCTATGCCTCCGTGGACTCTTCTTTTGGAAAATCTAAGTTCCCTAAAACTCTAACAGTTAATCTGATAAAATGGGACATAAAATACATATTTTTCCTTCCATGTGATGTGAGGAAGTTGAGCTTCAAAAAAACGGTCACAAAAACAAAGAGAGTGCCTGGCGGCCTGGACTCCGGATCCTGTGAAATAAACCCGGCCGGAGCTGCTCTTGTCTGAGGACAGGAGTTCTTGAATCACCTTATTCCTGCGAATAAAGGTGTCCCTCCCACTTGTCAAGCTCTTGAACTGGGTGAATAAACCCAATTTTTGTAAAATCATAATGTTAATTGACTAACGGTGGAAACAAAAATTTAATCATAAGGTTTGTGAATAGGCATGGATTCCAAGCAAAGAGACTGAGATGCTTTAAAATAGATGTTTTTCATCAACCTGTCCACAAAAGAGGCTGTTTTGCCGGACATCCTGGCAGTCATTGATGTCTGAGATTTTTCTGGGACTGTGGATAGGAACGGTCACATGCAAGCTGTGACTCTCATTGTTCTGTGCTTCCAGGGAAGACGAGCTACCTTTTGAATTAAAAGGTAAATAAGCCATTAGGTTAATGTTTATTCTTGCAATTTACGAGCAGTTTTTTTTTTCAATTCGCATATTTGTGCTCCAGTTACCTTAATTTTGTACTTCAATTTCAGATGCAATTCTTCTATTCTTAATATATTCAGGTCTCATTTCAACCAAAATATAAGGCTTTTTAAAGCTAGAGAAATATGTGAGTGATTATGTTTGCTGATAATTAAACACCTCAGCATCACGTATAATCAAGTAAACTTTATTCATTGAGACAAAAATAGATAAAATACAGAAAAACCAAGAAAATAGTTTCATGGATCTGGTTTCAATTCTGTACAACCACCATTTTGGGAGTCCTACTATGTGTCAGGCACAGGAGCTCGTTATTGGATCAACAAGAGAAAGATAATGTCCTATCTATAAGGTGATGACAGAGGAAATGGATATGTTATAGATAATTTTTATTAAATGGTCAAAGGCAATTTTAGATTTAGATAATATTTGGCTATAATTTTGTTATAAAATGTGCACTTAAATTTTAAGGCTTTTAAATGGTAATGATATAAATGTTGCATTGAAATTTCAGTACTAATAATGATCACGTGATGTACTGATACATAAGTCCAGGGAAGAAATAGCCATATAACAGAAGAAACCTCTGATGGTTCTAATCCCTGAATATAGGTTAATGTTTCATGACTTACTAATTTTATTAGTAAAACAGAAAGAATATTGTATAGCGACTTGTACTTATATGAACACAGATATATTCCAATTATTATGTAGTATTTCTTCATGGTCTAAAAAGGGAGTAATCTAAAAAAGACATTTAATATGACCATGACTTGGCATTGGAGAGTTAAAGTGGGTTTACTCTGATTTGCTTTAATAAGTGCTTTATTTTTACATTTTTATTATTAAAAATAATCTCAGAATTTTCTGGTCTTCCTAACGAGGGGAGAAATAAATTTTCAGAATTTTGAGCTAGAGAATATTTGCACTCATATTTCGCCTTTGCTATAGAATTCTAACCAGTATTTGCTGTTGCAAATAAATCTTCTAAAAAAAGAATGGCTAAAAAAATTGCTACTAGATGTGCACCAAATGTTTTTCTAACAGGCAGTTAAACTGGATTATATAAATCAAATGTAATGATGGTTTTTAAGTCACCGTTTTCTCCAGGTCCATTTCATTTTATGATTCTGTCATCAGGTTTCTTTGGTGACAGGCAGGCTTCCTCTGTCTTTTTTCTGCATTCTTGTCATTTTATGTCGGCTTTATTCTTTAATTTGAACTTGAATCACGTCATCTATTCTTTCTTTTTTCTCCTTTAGTTTTGCTTTAGTTATTTCGATTCTACACCTTATATGTTCTTTCTAAGTATTTCATACACAAATAGCTTTTATCTCAAGTACTGAGAACTCTTCTAACCTATATAGGTTTTCTTTACTTTAGGATATGATCCAAAAATATTGAGTTGAATGGACTTACTGGATTAAAAAGGCTGTGATTAAGTATGTTAATTTACATTTTGATTTGTGAAAATCAAAGTTGATTAGCAGTATAATGAACATATTTGAAATAATTTGGGCTCTTTTAGCCAGAATTAGAATAAGATTTGTGAGGAAGAAATTGAATCTGCTTTGGTTATTTAACAGTTTTCTTGCCAGTGTATTTTATGTGGATACAGCACTTAGGAACATCAGAAACATACAGTATTATCATGCTGGAGAGAGACTGTGGGAAATGCTTCTTTTGCTGTATATGTACTCGTTTAGAATTTTGATCCAAGTTCTGGAATGTTTGTTATATCTGTACATATGTTCAACTCTGTCTTGGATTTGTTACAGTGTCCAGAGAGCATATCTAAGACTTTTCCTCTGTTTTTCTGGGGAAGTAAAACATACTTTGATGATTCCAGAAACTTTATCCGTATTTTGCTACACATATATACTTACACATATTTGCACAATGTAAACTCTATATTATGAAAATAACACTTACTCATTAAAAATCAAGAATACAGAAGTCCTGCTCCTCTGGGCTTTCTTAATAATTGGGTGTCTATTCTTCCCAGTTTTTTTCTATGTCTATAGCAGTGGTTCTTATACTTTAGTAAGCGTCAGACTCTACTGGAGGGAGTATTAAAACAGATTGCTGGGTCCCACCCCACAGATTCTAATTTAGTGTGTCAAGGGATGACTGTATTACTAGCTTTAGTTCCTTGATTGATTTCTCTTGAACTCTAAGTAATATTTTACCTTTTAATCTCTTGTTTCATTATATATAGATAATATCTCTTGATTACCTACAGTGTGATATGATGTGATATGAGTATATTAATAACATTATTCTTTCAACTCTTCCTACTTACTTTCCAAATCTTGTTTACTTGTTTGTCAACACAATCTTTGATTCCATTCTTTAACCATAATTGTCTTCTTTTCTTTGTCAAGAGTTTGATAATAACTTGGAAATGAAATAGTTTTCTTGATCTGACTGGATACTTATTGTTCTCTAGAGCACCGTGTAATGCACAATGATTTTCTTTGTTTTTTTTTAACTCTTTGTCTTCCATGGAGTTTCTATTGCCTTTATTTTTTTACTTTACCCTATACATTTACCATAGCCTCATTTTAAAATAACTCAATATACTACCATTTATTCTGTTGATATCCCCTTGCCCAACACTTATCTCTATATCCTTTACTTTATTTTGTTATTTTATTTTATTTATCTTTCTCTGCTTTTAACTGATTGCTCTCTAGGATAGCTACACAGCTGTTATCCTGGGACTGTCCTTCATAGCTCTTCTCAGTTGGATCATCTCTTTACTACATTCCCTAATTTCTTCTTTCTTAGTCCTTCCTCTTGCTGAATTACACCCTTCATTAACTTCCTAAGAGGGAAATCAATATGCTGAGTCATGCATATTTGAAAATGTCTTCAATCAGCCCTTATAAATGATTAAGTGGTTGGCTTATGTAGAATTTTCCATTGAGAATTATTTTCCCGTGAGAAATTTGAAGATATTACTACATTGTCATCTACCTTCCAGTGTTAGTGATTCTCTTTCCTTAGCAGATTATTTTTCTCCCATATTCTCTGGAAGCCTTAATATCTTTTCTTTATTCTCAGTATTCTAAAAATTATCTAATTATTCTCTTTTTTTCTCTTCTCTGTTGTCTCTGTTGGGAATCTGTTAGTTTGATGGAAAACAAACTTGATTTCATCCAATTTTATTTGATGACTATCATCTCTTCTTTATATTCTGCTTTTCTGTAAGATATTCTTCATTGAATGTCTTATCTTCCAAGTGACTGGCAATCATATTTTAATTCCTGAGTATTTTCTGATTCTCTAATTTTTTCATTTTGATAGCAAATATTATTATTTGTGGATAGACTATTTCCTTAGAGGTCTTTGAATGTATCACTTAAAATTTTTTCTTTTCCTTTATTGTTTCTTTTTCCTACCCGCCCCCGCAACCCCCAGGGTTAATTTATTTACTTTCTTAAATCTTGGGTTTTATATTGTCTTTTTAATCTTGGTCCTTATGTTGCAGGATTTCCTGAAATATCTGGTGACACTTGGTTGCACATTCATACTTAAGAATGAGGCACTAAAAACTTATGACTGAGAGCCCAGACTTCATGGATTAGTTTTTTTTTTTTTTAATTTAACAAGGATGTATTCACAGGAATACACGCAAGTAAAGAAAAATAACAGAAAAACTAAAATGAAATGAAGCGTATTCAAACCACTTCCATTCTGTGACTTTTAACTTGTAGTCTCTGCTTATATATGCAGGGTACAGGAGGCCCCCAACATGGGCCAATGCAGTGAAAGAACCCTGCATTCCATGCTCCATGGCTTAGTTCTTGATACTTTCTAAAACACCAAATTACAGATGGCTTTGCTTAGTGCTATGTCTCTTGAAATGACTCTTCTGTTTCTTCCCAATATTGTGCCCAATTTCTTTAAAAAGATCATCTTCCTTTTTTGGAGGTGGTGGCCCGGAGGTGACTTGTATTGCAAAAATAGGCAGCCAGGTGTTTTGCACATAAAAGTTAGGGATGGGATGAAAAAAAATCAACATTTATAGGCTTTTTTTTTTTTTTTTTTGTGGGGGGTGGTGGAGTTTTGCTCTGTCGCCCAGGCTGGAGTGCAGTGGTGTGATCTTGGCTCACTGTAACCTCCGCCTCCTGGGTTCAAGTGATTCTCCTGTCTCAGCTTCCTGAATAGCTGGGATTACAGGCGTGCGCCACCAAGCTGGGCTAATTTTTGTATTTTTAGTAGAGACGGGGTTTCACCATGTTGGCCAGGCTGGTCTTGAACTCCTGACCTCAGGTGATCTGCTCACCTCAGCCTCCCAAAGTGCTGGGATTACAGGCAGGAACCACTGCACCCGACCTATAGGCTGTTTTTCTTCCCATGTCTCAGTAATACTCTCCTTGTTTGCTGGTACTTTTGGGCCTTTAATTTCTCCAAGTCAGCAACTAGCTTGACTGAGACCTCCGTTCCATGTCTTTTAAGTTGTGATTTTCCTGCTGCACTTCGTCTTGCATATACAATCTTATAATTGCTTTCAAAATCTCCATTCCATTAAAAATAAAATTTTTGTGGAACCTTATTCCTTTACTATTATGCTAATGAGGTCTGAGAAATGGGGGCAATAAAAACATGTTCTTAGTCTTGTGTCCGAAGTATAAAATGTCACATGTAAAGTTTATATCCAAGGTATATTACATCTTATTTTGGTGAAATCACAATTTAGAAAGGATTATGATTGGGCTGAATTTTAAAAGTAGTTTGAGACTTTTGTGCGTGAATCAGTGTACAGAATCAGCTGTCAATGGATCCCTGACAAAATCCTTGTTTAATTTTTTGTCACTTACGGGAGACTTTTTTTTTCCCCATGGGAGCTGTTCTAGAACAGCACTGTCCAATAGCACCTTCAGTACTTGGAAATGTTCTATTATTTGCACTATACACTATGGTATCCATGAGCCACATGTGGGTTTTGAGCACTTGAAATGTGGCTAGTGCTACTGAGGGAATGGATTTTATATTTTGTTCAATTTTAACTAAATTAATGTGAATAACCACATGTGGCTGGTAGCACCTTGCTGGACAGGCAGTTCTAGATCAATGGACTGTCATTCATCATCAGGATTTATCTATGTGGATTCTTTTCTATAGCATGAGACATCTCTTTTTTTTAAAAAAAAGTATTTTTTTTTAATCCCACCAAGTATTAGTTCTTTACAGGCAGGAACAGGGTAGTTCATGCTCATTCTTGCATTTTCAGTGCCTAAAACAGTGCCTGGCACTTAGTAGATGATCAAAAGCATTTGTTGGCCAAGTGAATAGAGAATAGAGAAAGCAAACAAGATTTTGAGTGTGTAGATATGACCTTTATCAGGCCATTTCTAGGTAGAGATTTCAGACAAGGATTCAGCTGTAAAGAATAGATGCTTCATTTTCCACTTCAAAATGTCATGTAACAAGCACTTTTATGTTATCATGGAAACACTTCTTATGTTGCATGTGAACCATTTATTCTACTTGGATGCACATTTGCCATTTTATTTGTGCTATTTTTTTACTTAGCTAAACCCTCTGTGTTCTTTCTGATTCAGCTTAGGTGACACCAATGTCCAGGAAGAATTCTTCAGCTCTTCACTCCCACTTCACCCCACCCAGCCCCATGCTTCTCTGGACCTCATTTAAAAGCATCTTCTCTGTTGTGTTAGCTACTCTCACCTTGCATGGTGGTTTCACGTTCACATCTTCTCCATGATACTGTGAACTTTTTCGAGGCAACACCATATCTTAATTAGCTCTGGTACTTAGCATAATACCAGAGAGATGTGGGCATGTGACCAGCTCTTTTCCTCATATTAATTGCTAGGCTGGACTGTTGGCTATAGTATAATACTAATGGCCTACAAGGTAAATACATTTAATAGACAAAGTGTTTGTGTTTGCTCTTCTCTTATTTTAAATGTAGTTATCAGAGACTGAGAAAAAGGACTTATCTTTCTTGGTATTTAATGTATATTTGATATTATTTAGAAATATATATAAATACCAATAATTCATAACTAATAAATTGCATTAATCTTCATCTATGTATTTACTAAACATGATAGAGTTTTTCTCAAGATAGCCTTATTTTGTCTCTGCATTTTCTCTTTTTTGGAGGCAAGAGCAGAACGCTAAATTGCACTTTCCGTCTTGGTAGAAGGCTGTGCTTGATAATTGTGGAGCTGACATGAAAGGCAGCTGCAGTTCTGAAGGGACTGCTGTGTTTTAGATAGGGTTAGGATAGGTGCCATCTTCTCAAGTGAGGTTTGCATATCTGTGAGGCACATTTCAGCAAAGCAAGCAAATGCTGATAAACCGTCCTCTTAGAGCAGGAAAGAGGCAAACAACTCAGTGTTTTTTAAAAAAATGAGACATGTAGAGAGACACGGTCCTGATAACAAAAGAGCCCAGGATGTTTCATGTCTTTCTGGGAGAGAGGAGGGGAAGAAAGACACAGAAACCCAGGATCTCATCCTAACAGCTGTAAGAGGATTAAATACCATGGCCTGAGGAACTGTTTCAGTGCACAGTATCCTGGAGCTGCTGAGGCCACAGGAAGGGAAACAGCTTAGAACCATTTAGGCAGAGCTTTAGGGGGCAGAAGCACAGGACTGACGGAAGGATGGCATGCAGACCCGAGTTGTCTCTACCTCAGCCCAGAGCTCCATAGATGTCAGTGCTCCTTTTTCTGGGCTGCTGGGTGATCTGGACGCCACCCATGGTGGCTGTAGGTAGCCAACCTTGACAGCACATGATGATTCTCCCTGAAAGGCAGTAACCCTCAGGCTTCTTCTCCATGGGACTTGGAAGGAGATGAAAGAGCAATGCCCTGTCTGGTCCCCTTGTTGACACACTGGATTATAGCAGAAATACATAAAATTTTATACCAAGGCTCAGGTGAATTTTAGGATGATATTGTAGCATGGGACAGGTGTAGGCAGACCTTTTCTGTAAAGGTGCAGGTATTAGCTTGTTAGGGCCACCATAACAAAATACCACAGGCTGCATGACTTAAACACTCACAGTTCTGCAGACTGGAAGTCCAAGATCAAGGTGCCGGCAGCATTGCATTCCTCCACAGCCTCTCTCCTTGGTTTGCAGACCGATGCCTTCTCGCTGTGTCCTCGTGGCCTTTCCTCTGCCTGCCCACATGTGTGTTCTAATCTCCTCTTCTTATAGAGATAACAGTCATATTGGATGAGGCCACTCATGGCCTCATTTAACCTAATTATCTCTTTAAAGGCCTATCTTCAAATACAGTCACAGTCTGAGGTACTGGGGGTTAGGACTTCAACATATGAATTTTGGAGGGACACAATTCAGTCCATATTAAGATATATCCTAAATATTTTAAGCTTTTACAGCTTCTTATCCCTGTCATTTAGTGTGAAAGATGCCCAGGCAGTACATAAATGAATGAATGTGGCTGTGTTCCAATAAAACTTTATTTATGGACACATTTAAATTTCATACAATTTTCACACATCATGAAATCTTATTTTTTTTCCAGCCATTTAAAAATGTGAAAACCTTTCTTAGCTCATAGGCTGCCTAAAATCAGTCCGCAGACGGGATTTATCAACCCCTGGAATAGAAATGCTGCTGCAACCCTGTCCAGTGCAATGTTGTGTGTGGCAGCCAATCCTCACAGTCTCTTTCAACCTGAGTGGATTTATGTGGGTTTATGTGTTCTGACAAGTATTTCATAGTGAACTCAGCCTGCTATGGAGACGTTTTGCTCTTTGCTGGGATACCCTTGGACATAGTGAGTAAAGCCATCCATCATCATGAGAGTATTGACGATGTCCTCCCTGCCTGGTGCCAAGGATGGAAAATATATCACACACATTCTACCAGATTCTGGGTTGAATGGCCCCTAATAGGTTGCCTATTCAAACAGCTCTTTGGGATGAGGAGTCACAGGATTGCCTTCAGTTTTAACATCCCCCGCCATTTCAGACTTGAATTAATTCCAATGACATAGGGCAGTGCCTAGGGGAAGAAATCAATAGTTCCTATAATCCTTTTACAGGCATTTCATTAACCAGCACCAGTTGTGGCTCATCCAGGAGCAGGGACCTCAGGCCTTTCAAAAAGCCCTGCTGTGCCACCCAAGGAGGGCCTGCATTTTCTGTCTCCCTAGTTTGGGGTCTTTCAATTGAGCTTATGGCTGGTTCTCCAGCCCTAACGAAGAAGAGGTGATCCATCTCAGGATGAATCCTTAACTTTGGCCATGCCCCTCATTGAAGAGTGTCCACCTTCCTGGGTATGCTTTGTAGACATTGCCCTCTTTCTGGCCTGGTAACATAAGCTGGAGTTGGGTGGGTAGTGCATTCAGAGAGCCTTGGCATTGTGGCCAGGTCTGGGTTTGTGTACAGTACCAATGTTTGTCAGCATGGCCATTTATTCCTGCTTGGTGGCACCCATTCAGCACTGGTGAGCCCATCTGTAAGCAGGTGATCTTCAGTCTAAGCCTGAGAAGGTACCTTGTCTATATACATGCTCTGAACTTCATATCAATAGCATTCTGAATCAGTTCTGGAACTTATTCTAACCAAAGAGTTTAATCAGTTTCCGTATCTCTCTTTGAATCCATTATGACCCCCACACCCTCAGAGAAGATTAAGAAGACCCCAAAAACATCTTAAGGTGAAGTATCTGGAACAGATCAGCAAAAGCCAGAATAAAATGCCTGCTGAGAGCTTTGCAGCATGATCACAGTTATCACTCCACCAGTTCTTGCAGTATGCGGGAAGCCAGACCTCTATTTTTGTCCCAGAAATGTCTGTATCACAGGGCATTCTGGCATAGAGTAGCTTGAAGTCCAAATCTTGAGTGATTTGGCCGGGCTAAACTTGAGTGGTTTGGTCTTATAACACTGAGTGAAACTACAAAATGGTTTAGCTCTCTGAAACTGGTAGTAACAGTCAGAGACATTTTTAGAGTTATTTCCCCTTGCTAGGGGACCTAGAAGCCATGGATTGGGAAGGGAGAGGCAACATGGCCCTAGGGCGAGGCACTGCCTGGCTTTCCCTGCACAAAGCTGGGTGCAGACTTTGTGGAGGCATGCTCTGCAACAGGAGCTAGAGGCAGAGGTGGAGTGACAGGATTCGCAATGGAGCACAAGAGGCGTCCAATACAATTATCCTGCCCTCTGTACCACTGAGATCCACTCAAGTAAGCATGACACATTTCTCCTCGAAGTAGTGGCCAGCTACACTCTCCAAAAATGACTACTACTATGGGTTAGCAATAGAAGAAACAGTAGTACTCCCTGCTTTAGCTGCTCTTGAGACCGTAATTGGGAACACCACCCATTCTATCTTCTCTCATTATTGGTTAACATTTTAGCTGGTCGGCCCTACAGAGTTAAGGGGATTCAAGCCTTGTCCCAGGGGCTGGGGTTGGGGATGTGTTTTCTTCTTTTCTGTTGCGAGAACTGGTGGCTGCAAAGTCCTATTCACTGTTAAAAGCAGCAAGGGCAGCCCAGCCTTCTTTTTTGTCTCTTAATTCACCAACATAAGGAGATACGGTGACCAGGCGGGAGCTGTAGCTTTTGATTCTATGGAAGGTTACTGTGCTCTCTTATGTAAGTGATCATCATGCTGGGAACCAAGACCTTCAATCAAGCAAACCTTAAGGTTGCAGAGCTGGGAAGCATAAATTACTCGAGTGGATCTGCAGGATGGGTGGGTAGAAGGATCAAACCTGCTTCATGCACTTGGTTCCCAGGGGTTTAACCACTGTGGACACAGCATCATACATCAGTATATTAGGGTTCTCCAGAAAACAGAACTGATAGGATCTATAGATATACATATATAATATACAAGAG